>NC_000003.12:61222121-61525151 GCF_000001405.40 Homo sapiens
CCTTCCCTCTCATTTTTAATCTGACAGACACTGCGGACAGGGAAACTCAGAGCAGACCAAAGTTCATCTTCCCTTTCCTGCTTCATGGCTGGCATAATCACAGGGGCAGAACAAGGTTGGCATGGACCAGGATGCCAGGAATTAAATGAGGGTCCCTGACCACTGGAACACATTAGTCCTGCCTTCCAAAGTCTTAATTAGTCTTCCTGTGCCTGGCACACCTACCACCAGGGAGGTGGCCGGGTAAGGTGCCATGCTCACAGCAAGTATTCAACAAAATATTGGTAGAGAATGGCGGTCACAAATGCCTGCTGGCTCATGGCTTTGCAACAACAGTCAGCTCTGAGGTCTGGGCACCAGCGGCAAGATTTCTGCTCTCTTTACTAATGCAGACAGTTCTAGCAGCGTTATTCTGAGTGATATTCAGCCACCAGCTCAATTTGGAAGCAAAATGATCTTAACAAACAGTGGCAGACTTGATAGACAGGCTGCTGAGCCTGGGGACCAAAACAAAGGATGAAAAGAAAAAGAAAGGAAGGGTTGATGACAAGACGAGGAGTGGGAAATGAATACTGCAAAGAAAAATGAGGAGGATTACAGTACTAGATACTTCAGTCCGGCAACTCTGAAATGAGCTGTGAACATAACAACAGACTCAAGGGTGGAAACAATGGGGGGAATCAAGGCAACGGAACAGGGCAGCATCTGTCACGAATTTTGATGCTGGGACAGACTTAGCGCTAGCAGTGGAATAGATTTGATAGTAAGTAATATTTGAGAGGTTTCAAAAGACAATGGGTCTTAATTCTGTCCTGTTTTGCACCTCTTGAACTACAGTGACATACCAAAATTTGCTATTTTTCTAAGAGGACATTGACAGATACAATGAAAATTGTGAATACATTTTTTCCTTCTGCATTCATTATCTCTGGCCCTTATCCACAGGCCTATTGCAGACTAAATTGGATTTTGGATCACTGGTACTGAGGTGCTGCAATTAATTAACAATAGAAACATAATATTTATATCCAGGCCTAACAACATCTGACATTTAAACTATTCTGCCAGTCGGACAAATTCCATTCGACAAATTTTCATTTTAATGAACATGACAGACCACAGTTTGCATGATAGGCCAAGCAGCAGAACAGAGTTGACCTCTTGGCATGTGTTTTCAAGGACTGACCATGCTCCAGAAGAAACAATCTGAGAAACTGTCAGAATAACAGAAAGACCAGATCCCCAGTTCCACCCAGACAGACCAAATACATACCACCCTCATGTCCCCCAGCACAGATCCTAGTATGAAACTGTCCTCATTTCATGTGCGAGCTCAAAGTTAAATACTTACTGCCCCTTGTAATCCACTGGATAATTTTTCTATCTTTGGGTTGCTGACATTTTCTTTGGGGTACTGAAGTCCCTTAGCCCTTCCTAATTAAAAAGTGATAAACATTTTTGCAAGGCATCCAATAATGTGCAAAGTACACAAGAGTTGGAACTGATGCAGCTTTTTCAGTTGGCACAAAACTGGCCTTCCACATTTTGCCAGATGGTGTATCTCAGTAAGTCCCCAATCCCTGACTCGAGTGAGGGGCATTGTCAATATGATGCTGAAGCAGAGACTATCTTTAAATGCTATCTTATTTTGCATTATACTAACACGATGGGTCTAACACTTATTCTTGCTGAAACTTTCACAGCTAAAGAAGTTTTCATTCTTCTGTGACTCATTATTCAAGCCAACAGAATATGATACAGATAAGGGGAAAAATTCTGCCCCTCTTAAGAACCATATAAATTTGCTGGAAACCAATGTCAGAGAGCAGATCTCCCAGCAAGACTTCCCATTGCTCCTCTATGGGTTACTGGTCCAAAGCACACTGGGTGAAATAGTATGTATTTACCCAAGCCCATCTCTACTACCCCAAAAACGTGGATGTCAAGGATAGAGATAAAGATGAAAAATGCAAAGACAGCAAGGCAGATAGAAGCTTAATAGATCTGGGAAATAAGTAAGGTCAGTGAAAAACAATATATTGTAGCTGGGATCCCTAAGGGCCGTATAGTTCTAGTTCACATATCTACAACATTCCTTATTCTAGTTTTTATGTCAATTCAAAAGAACTGAAATAAAATTCCACTTTAAAAGTAATACTTCTTTGGAGTAGGGATTTGGTTCATGGGTTCCAATCTCAGCAACTGAAATGACTACCTACATGGTAATTTGTTTTCAAGCTGTGGCTCTGACTAGACCCAAAATGGTAACCATGCTTATGTTACTATTTTATTTTATTTTATTTTATTTTATTGACATGGAATCTCATTCTTATCGCCCAGGCTGGAATGCAACGATATGATCTCGGCTCACTCTGCCTCCCGGGTTCAAGCAATTCTCCTGCCTCAGCCTCCCAAGTAGCTGGGACCACGGGCACATGCCACCACACCCAGCTAATTTTTTTATTTTTAATAGAGACGGGGTTTCACCATGTTGGCCAGGCTGGTCTTGTACTCCTGACATCAGCTGATCCACCCGCCTTGGCCTCCCATAGTGCTGGGATTACAGGCATGAGCCACCACATCCAGCTCATGTTACTTTTAGATATGGCCATGATACCAGAACATTAAGCACTGAAAGGATGACAGCATTTCCACCAGTGTAACCTAATTTAGAATCAATAATGTGTCACTCAAATCGGCAGCATGTACATATATACATACAGTGTGGATGGACACACACACACACATATATATATACATACATTAATTATAGTAATAGCCACATGTTTGAGGTTTTTACATGCATCTTCTCTTATATAACACCATGAGATAAGTACTATTATGAACTCTGTAACACACTGAGGAAAGGGCAGTTACAGTTCACTGACCTCCTTAAGAGGTAAAGTCAAGGTCACAGGCATGTAAGCGGCAGAGTTTAAGTGCAAATCCAAGTCTGCCCTTCCTCCAGAGCCTGTGCTCTACACAACACAGTGGCATATGACAGCATCCGCAAGGGAAACAGCATGAAGGAATTGATTCCTTTTGGCAACAGTCAAAATATCTTTTAAATATCAGGTATAAAACATTTTCAGACCACCAGATGCTTATTCAATTTTGAAAAATCAATTTTTATGGAGTTGCTATGAGTAGTTTCATGTTTGTTAATGCCTGGTTATATTCTTGAAAAAGTAGCGGCCTCATAGAGAAAAATATATATATTTTTTTGAAAGTTGGGAAGAAAAATGAGACCTTAACTGGATTAAATTGAAAATATTTGACAGAACACAAATGAATAGAATCTGTAACTTTAACATGCCTTTGCAGGAGGCATGTTCTAAAATGGTCATACCAAATTCAGAACACAATAGACTTAACATGCTTCTTGTTGTAAACAAAGGCATTGGGTTAAATGAAAGTTCCATCAAAGCTTAATAACCAATTCAAGTGAACACAAAGTTAAGCGTTATATACTTTCTGCGGTTTCAGTAATAGCTAATCTAATAATGGTAAATGGAGGGTTATTGTTGATTCCTTTGCCTGTTTCATAAATTAGATAAAGCAACGTGGAAGTTAGAGTACTTTAGAGTTTTATTGGACTAAGTGATTTTAAAGCTATCTCAAAATATAACGAAGTCATGACTTGAATGACTGCTGAGTTGTAGCTTGTTTTCCATCACCATGTTAGTACTTTTCACCAGTGTTAAATAAAAAGCTTCCTGTTAACTAAAACAATTCTATAAATACAATGTCTATCTACAGAACCAAACCATTTAAGGTAAAGTGTCATTGATACAGTATGATCTGATATTCTATTTCACCAGGGCCAAGCTTATAAAATATTAACTATAAGAGCAGTCAAGTGTTATTTATTTCTTCTGATACAAAACTCAGGAACAGTAGAATTTCTCTGCTTAATGATTTTCCATAGCACATTTCCAATTTTCTACTACAGTTTATTGATCTGGAATACTAAAACAGTTTTCTTCCCTGTCTAAAGAACACAAAAAGCCCTGTGCCCCTAGTCCCATGGGATGTGCCTCCAAAGATAACAGTCGTGGCATCTCATCAGGCGCTGAGGGGTGGTAATGAGAAGCAAGGCATTTTCCTTACTGAAAGAAGGTGCTAGTCAAATCTCAGGCCTTTTGATAACGGGAAACACTTCCCAAGCCTTTGCATTTGGAGATGAGGCTCCACACCTGCAGTTCTGAGAGCAGATGAGTTGCCCTTCACAAAGGCAGTCTATTTTCCTGCATTTCCCCTTCATGCCCTGATATGGTTACTTTCAATTACCCTGATAGTCCAGGAAGAAAAATATCCCTCTCTCCATATTTCATTCACATAATAAGAATCTGCAAGCTGTTCTGTATGACAGATGAGGACTGTGTGCTGAAGCAACTTGTTCCGCCTGTCAGCCTCCGAGAACCCACAGCAATGAGATACAATCGTGATGACATTACTAGAGAAGAAGTGGGTCAAATACATGGTCACTTTAAAACAGAATGTCAACCATTCTTTCTACTTCAGTAATTTGATGCAGTGGTACTCAAAACACAGACAGAGAGAGAGAAAAGGAAAGAGAGAGAGAAAGAGAAAAAAGTTCACCACTATTAGTTTAGTGTCCATACATACACAAATGCAAATGCAAATAATTGTTAAAATTACTGTTCCCATATACCCTTACATGACTTTTTTCATCCTCCAGCCAATTAGTCAAGAAATGTTTAGTAAGCATGTGGTATGAGCCAGACACTGAAATGGGTAGAATGCTGAAAACAGACACAGCCCCTGCCCTCTTAGAGTTTACAGTCTAGGATAAAGGACAAAGATTAACAAGCAATTGAGATTAATGTAATGAAGCCTGAAAAAAAACGAAGTAGAAGGTACTAAAAGAGCTTACAATATAAGAACTAACCAAGTCTTTCAGGTCAGTAAAGGTTTCTCTGAGGAAGAGACATTTAAGTTAAGGTCAGAAGTATTAGAGCAGCCAGATAAGAGGTGAGAGAGAAGAGTGACAAGTGGAGGACTTTTCTCCTCAGAATGTTTCCTTTCAAAGAAACCATTAAGACAAAGGCCTCAGGACACAGTAGAAGATATAATGGAGTAAATGACGCCATCAAGTCTACCATTGGGACTTATTGTCTTTCCTTATTTCAATCCCTAGTTTAGAAAATTAATTTTTAAAAAAAATTTTTAAACATTAGTATACCTCTGTCCTATCTTGCCACATAAGGGCAAAAGTTAATCATAATCACATTTTCTTGCTGATCTAAATATTAAGGTAGATTTTACTTTAAAAAATCTAATTTATCTTGACTGTACTGGTTAAAATCCATGGGTTATTTTTAAAAATATGTTTTGACAGCAGTGAAACTTGCAGCACATACAATACCAAGAGCATAAATTTGTTCAGGGTATAAGTACATGAAAATTAATATAAGCAGTTGGTAAATGTGACTTATAAAAAAAAAGACTGTACCAACTACATGCCACAATGGGTGGAAATAAAGAAGAAAAAGGTTCTTTTTCTCTAATATTTGGTCATGAAAATTCTGATTTGTTCTTGCAGAAAATTGTTTTTGGATCATTATTCATCTCTCTTACAGCATAGAACTTTTTTCCATGGGATCAACAAATTGGAATGGAGAGGAAAAACCGGATATATTCATGAGTATGTTTGCCCTTTCTACTAAAGCCCGAGTGTGATGTTCGGATTATTTTCTTTCCAAACTCAAAATCCATTCCCAGAATCCAAAATCAATAAAAATGGTACTAGCAAAACTGAGGGTTGAATTTGGCCTAAAAACTCAATGACTAAGTAGAGCTACTAATATGAGGAGAGGTTTTTAAAAAAATGTCTGTAGTTATTAATCACCAGCAATGACTTTAGCAGCTGCTCTAAAGTAAACACAATCTACAGCTACTTTAAAGCAATACAGTGTAAAAACCATGAGAATTAACATTCTACTGGGTGAAAGGTGGCAGAATATGCCACCCCAAAATATACCACATTGGCATAAGAATTATTTTCAAGCTAAAGGCACTTATAAAAAAATAATTTAAAAAAAAAAACAGCAGGTGCAAGAAGGGTTTTCTGACCCTCTTCTTTTTCTTCATAAAAGCAAGAGCTAAAATCCCTGTATGGAAAATATTCTCCTGACACCAGAAGGAAAGTAACATTCTTATCATCAAGGGCGGGATACTGAGACCAAGAGAACTCTGTACAAACAAACCTTATTAAACTAGCTCTTATTTTCCTCGTCACCTCTCCACCCAGTTAAATATCCTGGCCCAAGGCCCTTTGCCTTGTCACATCTTCACAATTTACTACTCTTTATCCAATTCCATATATAAGTGTTCAATTCTAACTTCATCTTTGGGTCTTCATTTCCTTATGAGGGCTCCCATGTCACAAAAAAACTTACATTAAATAAATTTGTATGCTTTTCTTCTATTAATCTGCCTTGTATCAATTTAATTTTTAAGCCCAGCCAAAAACCCTAAGAAGGTAGGGGTGAAATTTTGCTTCCCCTACATCTGTTACTTAGGTCTTATCTAGAGTTCAACCTGAAAGGCATATTTTAGGAGGAATATTGGCCAAACTGGAAAATATCTCCAAGAGGACAACTAGAATGGTGAGAGGTTCTGAACTTCACATAAGAAACCTGGGGATGTTCAGCCTGGAGAAAAGCAATGGGAGACAGCAAAACTACCTTCATACATTCGATGGGTCATTCATCAATAAGGCCATTCCGTTTTACTGAGCACTTCCTCTATACAAGGTACCATGCAAGGCAAAGGAGATACAGCACTGAGAGAGAAAGCCAGTCTTTTCTTACCATGCGGAAGGGAAAATGGATTTTCTCCATGTCACTTCACAAGATACTGTAGAGTAGAGCAGAGCACAGATTTTGGAATCAGAGCACTAGAGTAAAAACCTGTACTGGGTTGAATGCCATTCCCCACCCCTCCAATATGTCTGTGTCAAATCCCTGGAGCCTGCAAATATTACTTTATTAGAAAAAAAAGTCTTTGCAAATATAATTAAGAATCTTGAGATGAGATCATACTGGATTGTCTGGGTGAGCTCTAAATATAATGATCAGTGTTCTTACAAAAGAAAGGCAGATGCAGACAGACAGAAAAGAAGAAGATATAGAAGAGAAGGCCAAATGAAGCAAACAGTTATGTGGGTGCAAGCCAAAGAATGCTTGGGGCCACCAGAAGCTAGAAGAGGCAAGGAAGTTTTCTCCCCTAGAGCCTGTTGAGGGAGCATGGCCCTGCCAACACCTTGATTTTGGACTTCTGGCTTCCAGGACTGTGAGGAAATAAATTTCTGTTGTTTTAAGCCACCAAATTTGTAGCAATTGGTTACAATAGCTCTAGAAAACTAATATAACTCCCAATTACTTAGCTAGCTGTAGTACCTTACTAGCTGTGTTACCCATTGCTAATAACTCTAGCCCTCTGAGAACCAGGCCCTCATTAGGAAACTGGAGACAATAGAAATACTCATCTCACAGGTCAGAGATTAAGGAGGTATGTCAAACGTGCAGCACAGGGCCTAGAACAAAGTAAGTTTTCAGTACATAATAGTGTTATTATTAATGGATTCAGATTTACTGGGAAGCTTGTGTAGACCTTAGAACAATATATCAACAGGTGTAATAACAGCTAATTTATGCAGTAGGGCTCTCTCTACTGGTAAATATATGTAGAGACCAGATAAATCATTTTCCAGAAATACTGGAAAAGGGATGTTTATATTGTTTGGGAGGCTGGAATAAACATCCACTAGCCTTCCTTCTAGATCAACCCAGTAACCATTTCTCCTTGGTGCATCAGGTCAAGATCCTTAGGCAGGTTAACCCAGTAAGGGAAGTGAGGTATACACAGGGTTTGGCTGCTACCTTAAAAAGTCCCTTCCCCTCGCTGTACCTTGTTGTCTTTAGCTATAAAATAAGCATATTCTGATCATGTCTTAGTATTTCCAACTTGAAAATGCCAAGACACAATGAGAAAGACTTGGATCAATGAGATAGTTTGGGTATTTGTCCCCCCAAATCTCATGTTGAATTATAATTCCCAGTGTCAGAGGTGGAGCCTAGTGAGAGGTAATTGGATGATGGGGGTGGATTTTTCATGAATGGTTTAGCACTATCCTCTTGGTGCTGTCCTCATAATAGTGAGTGAGTTCTTGTGAGATCTGGTTGTGCAAAGGTGTATGGCACCTCCCCTTACTATCCTCTTGCTCCTGCTTTTGCCATATGACATGCCTGCTCCCATTTTGTCTTCTGCCATGAGTAAAAGCTCCCTGAAGCCTCCCCCAAAATGGAGCAGATGCCAGCACCATGCTTGTACAGCCTGAAGATCTGTGAGCCAATTAAATCTCTATTTTTTTAATAAATTACTGAGTCTCCTGTATTTCTTTATAGCAATGCAAGAATGGCCTAATATCATCACACACTTAAATTTTCTGATTCTCAGAAATGAAGCAATTAGACTAGAGTAAGGATTGCTAAGGACCAGTTGACAAACCAGGACCAAACCATAATATTGTTTTTAACCAGTACCTAGCAAAATGAGAAAAATTTAAAAAATAATAATTTTTTAAATGTCTTTGCTTGGCAGAATTAAAAGTTAGCAATCCTATGTCAGCTCCCATCCTATCTCACTTCCTAATTCAAAAATTATGTTTACAGCCTCTGAAATTCTAAAGTTTTGGAACTGGTATATCACAGAACAATCTATTAAATTTGATTCCTACACTAATATTCTGTGATTTTTTTAAAGGACATTTCAGAACTGTGGATTCTATCACTGACGTGTTCAAGTTCAAGAATAAGAAGTCATCCTTTTAGAATTTAAAAATACTCACTGGTAAAATCATATAGAACTAAATGTTCACAACAGTAAAATGGAAAAATCTAAATAAAATGAGTCGCTAGTAAATATGATGCTATAGTTTTACAAAATGTTATCATGAAGAGAAATTGGGTAACGCATAGGCATGAATCTCTCTATACTAGTTCTTACAACTGCATGTGAATCTAGAACTATCTAAATAAAAATTTCAGTTAAAAAATACTCACTGGGTTGTGTGCAATGGCTCATGCCTGAAACCCCATTTTGGAAGGCCAAGGTGGGAGGATCCCTTGAGTCCAGGCATTTGAAACCAGCCTGGACAACATAATAAGACCCCATTTCTACAAAAAGTTTAAAAAAAATTGCTAGGTGTGGTGGTGGGCACCTATGGTTCCAGCTACTCGGGAGGCTGAGGTGAAAGGACCTCTTGAGTCCAGAAGTTCAAGGTGGAGCCATGATCATGCCACTGCATTCCAGCCTGGGCAAAAGAGTGAGTCTCGGTCTCTTACGGAAAAAAAAAAAAAATGCTCACTGGGCTCTAAAAGTTCTTAATGTTGTTTATTAATTCAAACAATGGTCAGATTCAAACTCAATAAATATAATCAACTGTGCTTTATACATAGCATATGGACAGTTACTATGAACCATTTGTTTGGCAAAGATGTACTGAGGATCTTCTATATTCCAGGCACTATGCTAGGTACTAGAGTCTGGTGGCCAACTCAGTTCTTCCCTTCACAGAGAGTAACACCTAGCTGGAGAAAAAGGCAATAAATAAAGAGACAACTTCAAATTGTAACAAGTGCTATGGAAAAAAGAAAGGCTGAGGCAGAAAACACAGGGAGGGATAAGGAACTACATGAGCCATACATATGGAAAATGAAACTGTGATGCAGGAATGTGCCCTTATTTTTTGTATGCCTATATTATTGAACTGGCATAAATTCTGAATAATGAAAATATGTGCTTGGGTTGTGACTGTGGTGGGCTCTTAAAGGTAGGCTCTGCCCTTCTGCACCAATAAAAGGAGTGAGAAAAAAAAAGTAAAGTTGACATTTGCCTTTAACAAATAAGGCAATACAAGACTGTCCATATGTAAAAGTTAAACATACAATGGGGGCCGGGCATGGTGGCTCATGCCTGTAATCCCAGCACTTTGAGAAGCCAAGGCTGGTGGATCACTTGAGGCCAGGAGTTCGAGACCAGCCTGGCCAACATGGCGAAACCCTGTCTCTACAAAAAAAAATACAAAAATCATCCAGACACCATGGTGTACACCTGTAATCCCAGCTTCTTGGGAGGCTGAGGCACGAGAATCGCTTGAACCAGGGAGGTGGAGGTTGCAGTGAGCTGAGATCTTGCCACTGCACTTCAGCCTGAGGGACAGAGCAAGACCTTGTCTCAAAAGAAAAAAGAAAAAACGTATTCCATAAACATACAATGGACACAGCACTCTGTGAGATGAAATTCTTTAAAAGGTATGTGAGTCATAATTTCCCATATATGCCCACCACCCCTTGGAGGAGGAGGGGTTGGCTCTCTACCTAAACTAGAAGATAAAACTCTCTCATAATCAAAGACAGGGGAGGACCAGGGAGGTCTTCAAGAGGAGAAACATACCTTTGAAATTCTCTCCCTTCTTAGAAGATTCAGAATATTTCAAATACTGCAAAGTATGCCCTGGGAGCCAGTCAAAATATGTAGTAGGCCAGACCACAGGACTAGGAAATTAAGATACAGCTGCCTGCTCCTATTAGGCCTAGGTGCAGGGCCAGAATATTAAGGTTAACTTGGGCCCAGTTTGGCTGAAAAGACACAGGCTTCAAATAAGACTGGACAGGAGAGCAGGTAAATAAATAGAATATTCACATAATGGAACATTATATAACAGTCAAACCAAATAAAGCAAGGTACAGAACAATGTGTATTGTACAATATCTTTATATAAGAAAGGAAGGAAAATAACGTACATACATATTTGCCTGTGTGCTAATAAAAGTGGCTACTACCTTAAGGGAGATGGGTACAAAGATGAGGGTATGAGAAGAGGAGCAAGAACAAAATTTCACTTTATACCTTTTTATATTGTTTTGTAAAAATAAAGAGCTAAAAGATTATAATTCTCATTGCTGGTGTTAGTCACACATTTGGAGAGGGCAATTCGGTGGTATACATCCAGGTCCTTAAAACTGGCATATCCCTAGACCCAGAAATTCCACTTTTGAAAGGAAGTTATCTAAGAAAATAATAAGAGATTTGTGTACACACACACACACACATTCACTGCAGAATTATTTATCATAGTTAAGAAAATTTTTTTAATCTACATGTAAAATAATAAAGAACCAGTGAAGGAAATTATGGGCCATCTAAACAATCCAGTAACATGCAACTGTCAAAAACTACACTGTAAAACATATACCGTAGAATACTCAGTGGCACAGAAAAGTATTCATAGTATATTTTTTAAATCATTCATTAATTTTTCAATACCTTCTTTAGAGCATCTACCAGGTACTAGGCACTGAGCTAAATGCTGATTTAAAAGGCCAGTTACAAAACAGTATATAAATGGACAATTCCATTTTTTGTGCATCTGTGCATTTATAACTAGACTAGAAGGATAGACACCAATATGAGAGTAGTGATTACCTGAGTGGCAAGATTATGGGTGAAATATATTTTCTATAATGAACATATATTATTTCTGCAATATGAGAAAAAAGCACCACTTTTTTAATCAGGCTAACAACTCCCAGGATCAAGAATGTGTCTCATTCATCTCTCTGTCCTCTCACCCCCTCCTGACTCCCTGAATACAAACATGATGCTTGCTTCAGCTGCAGCAATTCTGTGGCCATTATGGAAAGGCCAAGAACTGCAAGATACACTCTCCTTGACATCTCTGAGCTGCTGAACTAAAGCCAAAGCTAACCATTTCTAGACTTCTTTTTATGTGGAAGAAACAAACCTCTATTCTTTTTAAGCAGGTTACTTGCAGCTGAAAGCATTTGAAGCTGACATAGTAACCTATTAAATAATACATGACACATTAAGGCCAGTACAGGCAACCCAGCAAATTTCTTTGATCAACCAGCAGAAACTGAAGACTGATGTGGTTAATTGCCCCACTAGCTTCTGGCTCTGTATTCTCTTCTCTGAAGCTCCTGGGAAGTAGAGCCCAGGAGAAGCTGTTAGTGAGGATTCGAGATCCATAGGGGAGCACTGCTTGCTGCAAAGAAAAACCAGGCAGCTACTCCTACAGCTTTACAACGTGGCCCAGCATTCCCACTCCTGGAAATGTCTCCTAAGAAAAAATCATGAATGTGATTATGCACACGTGCAAATACATCAGAAAAAATGGTGAGGAAAACCTATATGTTGACCAAGTGGGATAGATTAAAAAATAATGTCATGTTCTAACAGTGGAATACTCTGTAGACATTAATGCCATGGGAAAATGCATACAATATATTGACGAGTGAAAACAGAAAACAAAACTGTATGTAAAGTATTATCCAAATTTAGAAAAATGTGTCCATTTTCTGTTAGAAAACTAACAGAACAAATATGCATGCAATAAAAACAATGGAAAAAAAGCCACACACTGAAATATTGATAGTGCTATCATGAATGGGTGAAATGCAATGTTATTTTATTTTTTGAGTATTTCTATATTTTTTTAAATCTTCCAAATTTATTTTCTTGTGCAGTTGGTAAGAAAATTTCTTCTAAATAGCACCTTCTTACAGAATATTCTGGGCCCTCCGACCAAGATGTTCAATTCATCCACACCAACTTTGTCTAATACCTGCCTGCAGATCCAATGGAGTTAACAAGAAACAATTTATTTTTGTGTTTTAAAAATAGACATGGCAACAGCTGTAAGCTAAGCTACAGAAAATGATAAAGAAATTTTATTTCCAAATAAATTTGCATTGTATAAATGCAGTACATTTTCTTTAATTCCATAAGGTTTTGATACTGCTAATTTGAGAAAAATATTGATGTTTCCTTAAATAAGTCTAATTTGTATTGAAATTCATCCCCTCACTTGAAATGGAATGATCTTGAAAACAATAAAAATGAATGTTAATTTGCTATGTCATTGATAAAAGCAATTCCTTTTATATCCTTGTCCTTATCCATTAGACTTCATTTTACAGAAAAGGTAGCTATCAGGCAGGTCTGACCTTTTTGCCACCTAAGGACATTAGCTATTAGAGCTCAAGCTCCCTAGCCGGATGGCCTGGGTCCATATCTTAGGCCCACCACTTGCCAACTGGGTGTCCTTGAGCCCTTGTTTAACCTCTCTGAGCTTCAGTTTTCTCGTGTGTAAAACAAGGATAATACAAGTATCGACTCCATAGAGTTGCTAAGAGGATGAAATACGAAAATCTACATAAAGATCTTAGTTCAGTGCCTGGCCATAGTAATCTAATTTAAAAAAAAAAAGTAAGGTCTCTTTTAACTTGCTTTCAATTTTTATGTGCAGATAGATCATGGACCTGAAATTTTAGGTCCTAAAGAGGCCCAAGCATCCTGGTTTAAGAACCCATGTTGGAAAAATTAGCTGGGTGCAGTGGCGCATGCCTGTAGTCCCAGCTACTTGGGAGGCTGAGACAGGAGAATCGCTTGAACCCAGGAGGCGGAGGTTGCAGTGAGCCAAGATTGCGCCACTGCACTCCAGCCTGGATGACAGAGCGAGACTCTGTCTCAAAAAAAAAAGAACCCATGTTGGATACAGATACTTGACTTTTAAATGCAGACTCAGTATCATTTACTTAGCGTTCCCTATGATAAATGAGATGTTTAGGGAAAATGTTGGGTTTTTTTAGACCACTGGAAATTGACTTCAGCATGTGTATTAGAGAATGTAACTACCCCATTCACCTTGTCCTGTCCAGTACTTTCACTAAAAGCAAGGTATTGTGACCAATAATAAAATCATAGCTAAAATAATCACTAACATGTCATTAGTGCTTAATATGTACCAGAAAGTGCCCTGTGTGTTTTCATGTATTATCTCATTTAATCCTCACAACTAACCAATGAGGTAAGTTCTCTTACTATCCCCATTTTTAGATGAGAAAACTGTGGTATAAAGAGCCAGGAAAGTGCTAAGTCAAGATATAAATATAGTATGTAACAATATACTATATTTACTATATGTATTATAACATATACTATAATAATATATTTTTGTTATAATATATAGTATATTATATTATATGTTATAATAATATAATATAGATATATAAATATAAATATATATTATTGTTATATAATATATATTATGGTAATTAGTAATAATAATAATAACACAGCATCATTATTCAATCCCTGTGACCTGCCAAATGCAGCTCTAGATGCCTTCCCAGTGACATCTCTTGTGTTGACAACAATCTTTTACTATTCTTATTTAATGGATGAGGAAACTGAGAACTTAAATGAGTTACTTAAGATGAGCTATAGCTCTGACTGGTTCCAAAGCCAGCCACTCCAGAATTACTCTTCTACAGAGGGCAGGGAAAACAGCTCATTAGGTCCCTGAAGTGCTCTACCCAGGTCACAGAATGTTGGAGAGGAATAGGACTTCAGAATGATCAGATCCAAGCCCTCACTTTACAGATGTGGAAAGGGAGGCCCAGAGAAAAGAGACTTGCATAAGGCAGTGGGAGAGCCAGAACTAAAACCTGGGTCTCCCAGTTGACATGATGTAGCCATCTCATGTTGAGTCAGCTATCTCAGGCACTGTGAAAGCAGGAAGGGAAAGCTGACAGCTTCAGAGTGATGACAGCAGACTGTCCTCCCTCTCTCTGCTCCCTGCTGACCCTGGGACTGCTGCATATGCTTCCTGGCCCACTCAGAGTAGCAGCAACATGACTTGAGAAGAGGCTCTTCAGGAGAGAACCCACAATGAAGACAGGAAGCACCCATGCCCTTACATGATCTACCTAGGGCCCATTTCCAATGGAATCCCCCTGAAATAGAATTAAAGATCAATGGAGATGGAGGGTTGCCTCAGACACATGTGGGTCTCTTTTGTAGACATACAACACAACCTAAATCTTTGAGAACATGATCTGACTCAACAAATTACCTGCATTTTTTCTGATTAAATGTACATCCATCTTAGTTTGTATACTGGATAAAAATAAACCAACTCGTACAGAAAGTTTTTTAAAAATAGAGTTTTGGGGTGTTTAATTAAAAATGCTTTCAGTATTATGTAATCCTTGAAATACAACAGTTGTTTACTCTGCTTTGATTTCTAAGCTTTCCTTTGATGACAGATATTAATATTTATCATTTTTCTGATGTTGGACTAATGAGAATCTTAAGTGTTTATGAGAAGCCATTTAAATATTACAGTACTGCAGATATGTTTGTTTTCTGATTTATATTCCTGTCTTTAACATCAACCAGGATTTATTTTTTTGTGCTGAATCCTGGGTTGTTGTTCATCAACATTTTCAGTAAACTTTAAATAGCCAGAACTGATGATTTCTACATTTATTTGATGGTCAAAGTGAATATGAAACTTCACCAAATAACATAGTACTATGGGAAAGGTTTAGTTATGATTTATAAAGTAAAAACTGGAATGCATGTATAACTGCTAGCCAGGAATAGAGTAACATTCCAGGTTTAATGACACTGATCTCAGGTCATACGTATTGAGTGCTGAGTATGTATCAGGCACTGTGTAGAACATAATTGAAATCAATGATTTCACTTGATTCTTACAACAGCTCTAAGAGCTAGGTAGTATTATCATCTCCATTTTACAGGAAAGCGAAGCTCAGAGAGGTTGAGCACTTCACTCAAGATGACACAGCAAATGAGAGGCAAAGCCAGAAGTGAGTCCTCAGGGTCAGATAATGGGCTCTTATTTATAATTCCTCTCTCAAGGGTCCCTCTGTGACTCCCCAGTATTTGAAAAATCTTATTCTCTACAAAGTATAAATAACCCATCTGCACAGAGCAACAGTCTTCAGACAACCCAGACTTTCAGATCTTGATGGCTATGATGAGTCACACCTCATTTTGTTTATCATAGGCCATGCATTGTTCTATGCATGGAGACAGCAATAAACAGCACCAACAATTGTCCCTGCCCTCATAGTGCTATCTTTCTAGAGAGGGAAGATAGATAATATTAACACAATAAACAAAGCATTATCACCATTATGGGGAGGAAACGGGAGGCTATGCAAATTCAGAGAAATAGTAAAAGGGGATGAAGTCTGCAGTTTCTGTAGATTTCACTTGCATATACTCCCCATGCAGCCAAGACTCAGCTAACCAGAGAAATGACTTACAATCAGTAACAGAAGATGGCCCAGAAGTAGTGTGGTACAGTGCAAAATCTAACACTGAATTCTCAGTTAGGGACCTGACATAAATCACTCACCCTGCATAAGGACCAGGTGCAGGGGAGACAGCCATCAGCAAAATAGCCACTACCGCTGCCCTTCATAGAGCTTACAGTCCAAAGGGAAGAGAAGCATTGATTTAAAATCAAAGGTTAAATAAAAGCTGTAAAAAGTATAAGAAGGAAGCAAAAGACACAGGAGCTAACCTATAGGAGACTAAGAAAGGTCAACATTCTGCCAATTGCACTGTCTGTGACCCACACCAAGTCATTTTTCCTCTTTACAGCCAGTTTTTCAAATATGCAAATAAAGGAGAGTAGACTAGATGAATCCAACCAGCTTCTTTCAAGCTCTTTTTAAAAATCTCTTGAAGCCATGATTCTAACATATAAAAATTATGTATCTCCTCTTCTTTCCACCAATTAAAAGATCCCAAACTGTCAGTCCCTTTCATTGTATTCATCTGCCTCACTACTGCTAGGGCTTTGTTCTTGATTTTCACTGCCATTTGGCAGAGAAGTCAAATCAGGAGGGATATGGATGTGATACCGCATTAGGGGGCAGAAGTGGGTATCGCAGATGCTCTGATCAGAACCTAGTGAAGGAAATGAGAAGGAATTGGGTTATACAAATGGAACCTAGGGTCCAGAGAGTGTATTAACAGGTAACAAATTAGCCTGTGGAGATAGTAGGCATTAGGGAAGCATCAGCCAGGACTGTAACTCATGTTCTGGCCAAAGGGAGGGGAAAAAAAAAGTCTAGAAGTAGTGGAGAAGCAGATGAGTGGAAGAGAGGTCTAGACAGCAAACAGCATGGATCCAACCACAATACTGAGATCCAGGGACAGGAGCATTACCCATGGGAAAAAAATCCAAATTCCATACTTTGACTTCAAGGCCCTGTATGGCCTGGGCCCTATCTATACAGCCAATTTCATCTGATGTCAGTCTCCCTTTCCCTCTCTATGGTTCAGCCACAGGGGCCTTCTTTTCTCCCTTTGATGGTGTTAAGCTCTTTCCCACCTTAAGGCCTTGGTATAGGCTATTCCTTCTGCCTGGGACCCCATTCTATTAATACCAGCTCTTCATATGGCCAGCTCCCTCTCATCCTTTACTTAGGTCTCTGCTTAATTCTCAGCTCTTTCTGTCTGGCCATTTTATCTCAATAGGTTACTCATCCCTCTTTCTATCACAGTATCTTATAATCTTCCTTCTTGTACTTGACATATTATTATTACAGGTGTTTGCCTATGTGTTATCTGTCCCCTTCACTAGACTCCATGAGGGCAGTGCTGATATTTTATATAGATCATCCCATTTAATTCATAACAATCTACGAAGTGGGTACTATTATGTCCATTTTACAAAGAGAAATAAAACTGCAAAGAAAAACAACTGGCCATATATATATATATATATATATACACAAATTCTAAACAATACTACTCATTACATTAAAACAGAATGGCAACTTAGTAGAAGCCACAAAAATCTGAAATCTTTTTATTTCAAGTGTAGCCCATGGACCAGCAACATATATATCACCTGGCAGCTTGTTGGAAATGCAAACACTTCTGGCCTCACCAGGGCCCTTGCATATAGTTCCAGCAGTCCTCAACCCACAGGAGTTGGACCCAGCTGTTCCATCTGCAACAGGAAGCCAAACACAGCTAACACCTCTAGGCCAGGGAAACCTTGGCCTGTTGCCTTGTGGAAGTTCAAGAGGCTAGAGGAAGCCTTAGTTTAGAGGAAGCTTTATCCCTGCTCAGAGGAGCCAAGAGAGGGCCTCAGCTGTAGATTTTTCTGAAGCTTCTTGGCCTTGTTTTTATCCACCAGGCTGGCAGAACCCAGCAAATGGGATTTCAAACTACAGTGGCTACCTGTTTTGCTGTATCCCTAGTGTCACATCCCTCTTCTGAAGGTATCAGCAGCTCTCGTTAACCAGGGCCTTTCTGTGTGTACAGCCCTGCAAGCTTTGCACAGCACAACTCCAGCAGGCACCAGTCACATATACTCTGGTATGAATGGTGGCCTCTGATGCTAAGAATGTGGCAGCCCTGGCCCACTTCCTCTGGGTGAATCTCTCCTCTCCCAGGGTGGGCATTTGCTCCACACCTGGCCACTCACAGTACCCCTCCAACTGGCTATAGAAACAATTCCAAGTGGTAGGCATATGGCCCAAGCTAGAACTCCTTCAATCTGCTGTAAATTTTGAGGTATTATGGGCAAATAGATATATTTCAGCCCATACAATTGAGTCTCTCTAAACTTGATGGAAAAAATCTGGGATCTTTAAGGTAACATGTTATATCTGATTATTAAGATGGGAATTTAAGGTACCTTGCCTTCTAATGGAAATTTATGTAGCCAATTACAGTGCCCCCTTCTTTACATAATTTTAACCCATTGGGATTGCTTTCTAACCAGTGGTTCTTGGCCCTGGCTACAAGTTAGAATCACTAGAGCATGTCTCGTCCAGATCAATTAAATTGGGAAAGGTTGGTGGCACAGGCCTTGGTACCTCAATTTCAGCTGCGCTAGACTCTGACTACTCATCTATGTAAGGCGTCCCAAAGTGGCATATGGTGTGCTACATAGTCTATGCTTCCAGGCAGGCCAACAAAGTGGTAGACTACATCCAGTGAAAATCAGACCTGCCACTTTCTGATGATGTAGTAACTGACAGGCAGAGACTAATTTTACTTACACAAGTGGCTGTAAAACAAAATATTCCCCTCTCTCTCCACCCCACCATTTTTTGTTGTTCTACCTCTCCCACACTCTCTGCATTTGTTTTACCTCCCTCTTGCCTCTCCTGCTCTCCCTTGGATTTCTTGCCAGGGTCATTCCTAGAAGAGATTGAACTGGAATCGCTAGTGCTCCAGGACTGAAACAATCTTACTCTAAGCAGGTTCCAACCCTTCCCTCCACCTGTCCTCAGGGCTCCAAACGCATAGGTAAACTTGTGCTTCTGGGCACAGCTTAAACATCTACTGACAAAACCAAGCAGGTACCGTCCTTCAGTTAATGTGGAGTCCAAAGGCAGCAGTGAGTTTTGTGTTTTGCTTTGTTTTTTCAAAACTAAGATGTGGGAAGAAGACTTCTCAGAAAATAAAAATCTTGTTCTTACCACATTCCACAGACTTCAGTGATTAAATGACTGTAGATTGTATGCTCCTCCAGCCTGGTCTAACTAAAATATTCATGCATTAAACCTTGTGAGGGAGTACTGATACTTCAACATTATCTATGATGGTTTCTAACTCCAGTAGCTGTGAGTCTGAGAAACTGCAAAATATACTGAATTTTAATAGGATTCTGATTGTTAAGAAAAAGAGGTAAATCCATAACAAAGAACACTAATAAACACTTAAAAAGACTCAGCAAGAGTCTTTAAGTTACAGAATCCTGAAAATGTGTATCTTTTGTGAACTTCTCAAGCAGTTTCTCAATTTTCTCTTCTATTCCCACTTATTCATCATTAAAAGAAAACACTGGCATACAAACAAAATACCCCTAAAATAAGTGATTTTTAACTGCAGTTAACACTCTGGCAAAAACACTCTTTTTCCCACCCTTTCTCTTTTTCTCTGTATGGAGTGAACAGACCAGAAAAGTAAGGCCACTACATTGTGAAATAACCTCCTGGTGGGCAGAAAGGTTCAGGAAATGCTGAAAAATGAAATTACGGTGCTGGGTAATATATATTCAAACCAAGAATGTTCCTGGACCGTTGATATAAGGGTTTAAATATAAATATAAATACTCAAATATAACTGTATGCATTTTCTATGAGTCAGAAAAACAACTTTCCAAAGGAAAGGGTCTGAAAGGGGATCAGAATATGCTACCCCAAAATATGCCACTTTGGCATAAGGGTTATTTGAGTTGAAGGCAATTAAGAACAGCAGATTCAGAAAAAACAACAACAAAAAAAAAAACACCTCTGCCCTCCTCCATCTAGCTAAAAGCAGGGCACAGATTTTCCTTTGTAAAGGTGACATATTTTCTATAAATAAAGGTTTTCCCCTTTCCCTACCAGAGAGACTTCTTACCTGCATAAACAAACCTTACTAAACAACCTTCATTTACCATACATTTTCCTAGTCATTTTTTCACAGTTTATCCCCCTACCCCAGAAGCCCAAATCCCCTTGTCCTTTTGTAACCACCCAACAGGTTCATTTTGCCTGCTGCCCAGATGGTTTATCCAGAGAGAGGAATTGCAACAGAGAAAGAATTTAATTCATGCAGAGCCGGCTGAACAGGAGACCAGAGTTTTATTATTACTGAGATCAGTCTCCCTGGAACATTTCAGAGACTGGGATTTTTTAAGGATAATTTGGTGGGTAGCGGGCCAGGCAGTGGGGAGTGCTGATCGGTCGAATTGGAGATGAAATCACAGGGAGTCAAAGCTGTCCTCCTGTGCTGAGTCAGTTCCTGCATGGAGGCACAAGACCAAATGAGCCAGTTTATCAACCTGGGTGGTGCTATCTGATCCATCTAGTGCAAGGTTGGAAAAATATCTCCAGCACCAACCTTAGGTTTTGATGTTATCCCTAGGAGCAACTGGGGAGGTTTAGAATCTTGTGGCCTCTAGTTGCATGACTCCTAAACCATAATTTCTAAACTTGTGGCTAATTTGTTAGTCCTAGGGGGTTTGGGAAAGGGTTGTTATCATCTTTGTTCCAAAGTTACACTATAAACTAAGATCCTCCCAAAGTTAGTCTGGCCTACGCACAGGAATGAACGAGGACAGCTTGGAGGTTAGAGGCAAGTTAGATGCGGTTAGGTCAGATCTCTTTCACCGTCATAATTTTTGCAAAGGAGGTTTCACTTTGTCTAGTTTCTTCTCCACATAATATATAAGCCCCCAGACCTAACCACCTCTTTAGGGTCTTCACTTCTTTTCTATGAAGGCCTCTGTATGCATATGTAATAAATGATTTCTCCTCTTAATCTGTCTTTTGTCAGTTTACTTTTCAGTGCCCCAGGAGCAGAACCTAAGAAAGTAGAGAAAGGATTGTTTTTCTTTTTTCCTCCCTCACAATCACCACATATATGGATTATCAAGAAAATTAAAGGTATGTAATCAAATTAGCTTAATTATTCTTCTGCTTTGACAGAGGATGGGGGTAGGAAGAAAACTTTATAATAGGCAGCCTTTCTAGAAGTGGTTCATTTCAATGGTTCATTTCAAGCTACTCAATTAGAATGTAAGAATATTACCAGTAAAAATGAGTGGTATTTTATCTGAACAACTGTTTAAACCCTTTCAATAACACTGCCATAGATCATGAAAGCATGTCACTGAGTTTCTTTGGAACACAGTTTTAATGGGATTATAGCCCCCCACTCCACCCCCAGCTATGAGGAATGAGGCAAACTAAGTACAGGACGAGAAACACAACCTGAAATTCAATATAAGGAAAACCCTTAGACAAGCACAGCAAGAGATACAAGGAGGGTAGGGGAGAAAGAGTGTCCCTGGTAGTTAATCTCAAAGATAACTAGTGCAAAATTTATAGTTAGTTCATCAAATTCCATGACAGCTTTGTGATGACGCTTTTCTTTCATTCCCAAAGCCTTCAAAATGCTACTTTCTAGATATTTCATTCCCCACTCAGACCTTTTACCTATTGGATTATACCTGATTCATTCCACGATGCTGTGTTATTAGAATCAGTGGTTTTCAATGTTAAATGCACTTTAGAATCAGCTGCGAATCATTCCACAATGCTGTGTTATTAGAATCAGTGGTTTTCAATCTTAGATGCACTTTAGAATCAGCTGGGAAATGTAAAAAATAAACAAACAAAAGAAATCACACAAACAAAAAAAACACCTGCTCCCCTCCCCACTCTTTCGGTTATCTGGATGGGACCAGCCCCAGGTGATTCTAACTTACAGCCAAGCCTGAGAGCCACTAGTTGGAAAGCAATCCAAACAAATTAAAATTACATAATGAAGGAATAAACTTACATTAGGAGGCCAGGTACCTCGAATTCCCATCCTAATAATCAGATATAATGTGTTAATTTAAGGATCCCAGATTTTGTCCATCAAATTTAGAAAGACTCAATTGCATGGGATGAAATATATCTATTTGCCCATGATGGGGTTCAGGACATACTACCCTGAAATATTGTAAGCTGAATGAATTTGAGAAGACAGCAGAAGCCAGAAGGTCAGAGGTCACTCTCTGACCTTCCTTCTGCCCTCTCTGAAGCAGGTCATAAAACCTAGGAAGAATTATCTGGCCTTCTCCTGAAGCAGGTCTAAGACCCTCCTGTGAAAGGTTTCTCACTTCCCATACCTGGAATGAAAGAACATCCTTATCTCTGAAAACAAAGGGTTACAGAGAATCTGAACAAACAGGTCTTGCTATGTTTCCTCCCATTGTTAGCTCATGTTTTCTTATTCAATCATACTTCTACACAACTATGTACTTCTTCATCAAATCTAGCATAAAAAATACACAGGTTTACCAGTTTTGGGGGTCTTCATTCCATTATGAAGAATCCTGTGTCACATAAAACTTACGTTAAATAAATCTGTGTGCTTTTCTCTCGTTAATCTGTCTTTTGTTACAGGGGAGTCAACCAAGAACCTGAGGGTGAGGAAAAGATACTTCTCCTCCCCGACCCCATAATACGCCAACTTTTACAGAGGATTGAAGAAATTCCAAACATCATATCATAGAGGTAAGCAAAAACAGTAGAATTAAAGGTTATCTAAGTCCTCTTAGTATTCAAAATATGATAAACAAGGAAACAGAGCAGGATGCATCAACTTGTGTTTTTTATTGACAATGATAAGAATAAAATCATTAGCTACCATTTATGGAGTACCAGTTACTGTGTTAAGCATTTCAATGGGTTACCTCACTGAAAACTAAAAACATCCCTCTGCAATAGAAATTATCGCCCCCATTTCACAAATCAGGAAATTGAGGCTCAGAGAGATTTGGACACTTTCCCCAGAGTCACACACATAGAAAGTAGCAGAACCAAGATTAAAGTCCAGGTCTTTTGCTCTATCGAGTCCATTCTCTTAACTACATCATCTGTCACCTAGACCACTGAAGAGTATCCTAAGTACTTGCTACTCAAAGGACGATCCATGGACCAGCAGCATCAGTCTGTTAGAAATACTGACTCTCTGATCCTTTCCAGGTCTTTAATTTAATCAGAATCTGCATTTTAAGATCAGCAGGAGACTTGTATGCACATTAAAATTAAAGAAGCACAAACATACATGCTTATCCCACATCAACTATTACCTCAGATAAATTCATTATCCATAATGCATCCATACTTTTTAAAACCTGATTTACTTGACAAATAAAAATTGTATATGTTTATGGTATACAACATGATGTTTTGAAATATGTATCCCATGTGGAATGGCTACATCAAGCTAATTAATATGCACTACCTCAAATACGTATTTATTTGTGGTGAGAATGTCAGAGGTGTTTGAACCAGAGCAACTCCATCTTCAATAGGGGCTGAGTAAAATAAGGCTGAGATCTACTAGGCTGCATTCCCAGGAGGTTAAGGCATTCTTAGTCACAAGATAAGATAGAAGGTTGGCACAAGATATGGGTAATAAAGACCTTGCTGATAAAACAGGTTGCAGTAGAGAAGTTGGCTAAAACCCCCCAAAACCAAAATGGCCACAAGAGTGACCTCTGGTCGTCCTCACTGCTATACTCCCTCCAGCGCCATGACAGTTTAAAAATGCCATGGCAATGTCAGAAAGTTACCCTATATGGTCTAAAAAGAGGAGTCACGAATAATCCATGCCTTGTTTAGCATATCATCAAGAAATAACCATAAAAATGAGAAACCAGCCACCCTCAGGACTGCTCCGTCTATGGAGTAGCCATCCTTTTATTCCTTTACTTTCTTAATAAACTTGCTTTCACTTTACTCTGTGGACTTGCCCTGAATTCTTTCTTGCATAAGACCCAAGAACCCTCTCTTGGGGTCTGGATCAAGACCCCTTTCTGGGAACAAGAACACTTAAAGTCTACACTCTAAGTAATCTTCAATAATACAATACATAGCTATACATCCATACTTTTATGAAAACAAATCCAACAATTTCATTTCCCCATTTAAGGCCATTAAACAATTTCCCAAATGCCCTCGGAATAAGGTCGAAATGCAGGTAACCGGACTCTGCATAGTATTACTCAGGCTCACCATTCTCAGCAAACTAACACAGGAACAGAAAAGCAAACACCACACGTTCTCACTCATAAGTGGGAGTTGAACAATGAGAACGCATGGACACAGGGAGGGGAACATCACACACCGGGGCCTGTTGTGGGGTAGAGGGGGAAGGGGAGGGAGAGCATTAGGACAAATACCTAATGCATGCAGGGCTTAAAACCTAGATGACAGATTGACAGGTGCAGCAAACCACCACGGCACATGTATACCTATTAACAAACCTGTACATTCTGTACATGTATCCCAGAACTTAAAGTAAAATTTTAAAAAAATTTAAAAAAAGAAAAACATATCTATTACTCAGGCTCACCTCTGCAGCCTTATTCTCTCCACCTCCTCCAGCCATTGATTTTCATACCCTAAGCACACAGACCTTCTTTCTGCTCATCAAATCCCAACATCCCCTCCCTCCCTCCCTCCTGTCCTCCATTGTACTAGGTTCTTCCCTGCCGAGAATATACCCTCACTCACCCCATCAGTGCCTCCCTACCAGCCCCATTTACTGCTCTCACCAGAGCAGATGCAGTGCCTGGAACAGAGCTAGGAGCAAGATAAATGTGCTGAATAAAAATATGTTTAGGATACTGAGGGCCTCCGCTGTTTCCTTTGTCCTTCTCCTCTGCTGTTGCTGTGATCCTCATTCCTGTTGCTCCTTCCCTGTTCCCTGCATCACTTCTTTTCAGTAACTCACCTCCTTATCGTAACCTCATGGCTATTGAAGTTGTCAGCTTTAGAAAGAAGCACTGCCACATCCCCACGGTCATTGCCCCAGGATTACTCACCAGCTGGATGACAACTGCCTCACTCTAACCCTGAGCCTCCTGGGATAGGACCAATCCTTTCTAGAGATGGACAGAAGGCCCCACTGACAGAAACAGGCTGCTTTTAAATCAAGGATTTAATATATAGGTGGAACCATAGATCAGGGGCCTCTCAGCAGGCAGTACCGAGCCAAAAGCTTCACTGTCTCTCTGCCCACACAAGAGAGTGTCACTGTGCTGACAAGACAGGTTATCAAGAGTTGTGAGGAACTTCATATTTTAAATGTGATGACCAAGTGTGCTACTCTAAGAAAACAAGTGGCAAACAAATCCTTTTATAATATAAATACCTGCTTAAAGTTTTAAATCTTGAGGAAATGTGAATTTTCATATATCAGGCTTACAATAACAAAAATAAGAGCTATTATATTTATCTATTGACTGCAAGCTGTTAAGAGCCTGACAACATGCTCAAAGCTTTAAACACACTTTCTTCTTCATCATCACTGTGAGGTAGAAATGCTTATTATCCCTATTTTAAGAGAGAAAACCAAGGGCTAAGTAACCTGTCTAAAAGGCACAGCTGGGAATTAAATCATGGGTCCCCAGACAACCCCTCTACTGCTTCTCTGCTATGTCTTACTATATAGATCACTTTCTCATCTGAGAAGTCACAGATATGGACATTCCCAAAGAGACAACCCCTTGGAGAATGATCTCAAAGGCTGAGATTTTTCTCTGCAATGTACATGTTGAAAGCAAAGTAACCTCCTACATCTTATATTTCAAAGCTGCACTTCTGCATTAAAAGAGTAAACAGATTCAATGAAGAGATGTGGGAACAGGGTGCTTATGAATGCAATGCCACAAGTACTTTTTCAGTGTCTACTGGTGGTCAGGCACTGTGGTGGAAGCTGAATGATCAGACTATCAGTTGGGAGAGCGTGGGGGTGGGGGCATGGGGGTGATGAGGAGAACTTCTCAAATAGACTGTTTCAGGAATGTTTAGCCAATAATTCATAAAACTGTTACTTTATTACCTAACTATATGGAAATCATCTTTCAGAAGAGACCAGAGTTACCTGCCTTATTATCTGTGAATACATAATTGAAAGGGCCAATATGTCTTCCAAAATGAAAGTCACAACTTGATAGATTTCTGAGAGTTCATATTAGAGGGTCAGATTTTAACATGTGAATGCAAACATAGTGTCAGAATTTGTTCTCAAGTGTCTGAAAGAACAAAAGAGAAAAGAGTAATGGGAGCCAAAACCAGACTAACTTCCAAAATAGAAACAGAGCATGTTGAAGTTGCATAAACACACAAATAAAGATGGGGACACAAAAACATTTCCTAAAGCATTCTATCAAAGGCTGCAGGAAAAAGGCCAAGACAAGGATACCAAATAGAAAAGCATAAGCCTAAAAAGGTTATCCACACTACTGTGAGGACTCCAGAAACCTGCCTTCTTGCAGAAACGGGATACTTTTGACATGAGGGCATGAGATGAAGATTGCAGACTACTTCGTAACACACTCTCCTCATTTATAAAATAAGAGTTAGATTAGATTATTTATAAGGTCCTTCCAGTCTGAATGCATTAAGTCCTTATCATCTATGTGGTCCTTGCACCTTAAGAGAGATGACCATATAAAGAAGCTCAAAAAACATTTGTTGAATTCATGAAGTATTACAACCTTACCAATAATAAATAAGATAATTTATAACAATTGGTCCTGGTCTGTGGCCTTGAAAGAGCAAATTAGAGGAGAAACCATTATCTAAAGAGCTACACATCTGGTGTTCCTGCTAGCTGACTGCTGGTGGAATGAAAATAACCCTGGACTTGAAAATAAGATGCTTGGTTCTAGTCTAATCTCTGACACAAACCAACTGTGTGACCTTGGGCAAACTGCTTTACCACCTGGGCCAGTTTCCTAATCTCTAAAATAAAGGTATTCTAAAACTATATACATATATATATGGAATCTTTATTATAGGCCAAGAAGTGTTCCAAGATCTTTGCATTAGAATTAAATGATCTCAAAGGTTTTTGCAGCTCAAATGTTTAGTATCTAAGTACAGAGGCAGCATGGTATAATTAAAAGATTCCAAATTCTGTAGCCAGAAAGGTTGGACTCCTCCTCAGCTCTGTAAGGTAAGGTCTTTCTCTAAGCAGAGACTGTTAAGCAGAAGGGCTTACAGTCTCAGTCCTTTTATTCACCAGTGTTTTAACTTGAACAAGTTACTTAACTTTCCTAGCCTTAGTTTTCTAATCTGTAAAGTTGATATAAAAATGGTTCTCACTCTCATATAGCTTTTAAGAGGATTAAATTATAACACATATATTTTATTGAATATATATTATATTGCTAGCTGTGTAATCATGGGCTATCTTCTCAAGTTTTTTCTCATATACAAATGGGAAATGTAGTATTAAAAAGAGATCATGTGAACAGGTTCTAAATGGTCAAGTGTTAGTGGTTTTGGAAGCATGTACGTTAATACTTGGAACACCGTATACAACAATCCCATATCTAACACTTAGAACAGCATATGCAATCAATAACAACACACACACACACACACACACACACACACACACACACACACACACACACACACACAAACCCTAGACTTCTTTCTTTACTAAATATTTCTAGTCCAGGTTGCAGCAGGTGGACACAGGCCGGCAGCCATGAACGCAGGTCCACATGGGAGTTGTAGTTCCGAGTCAAGCGGCTGCTCTACAGAACGGCTAGAAGCGAGACTTCGTCTCCCAGGAGACATCTCGCCGTGCAAAATGGCACGCCACGAGGTGGAGTACCTGCCCGACGAGAAACAAGAGGCGGGACTGCAACTCCCAGAAGCCTCCGCGGCCAAGGCCTCAGGCCGCAGGCTGAAGCCAAGGAGGGAGAGTTCAGGTAGATCCGGCTTAACATCAGGTGCGAGTAGGGACCACCCTTGGTAGTCTGGGCCCGGCCCAGGTCAGAACCTTACTAAAACAACCACTGTGAGTATTTTCTATTGGTCCCAGCACATTTCTGAGAGACCAGAATAATAATAGCAGTAAATCTGCAAGTGGTAAACTTTCACAAGCATAACCTCAATTTAGATTTCGGCTTCAGGCAACATCCTTTGGCCACTTGACCTGGGAGCATTGAGCTCCTTGTTTCCCAGATAAGCGCTGTGAGTGGCTGTTCCAAGGTAACACAGCGAGGGCAGAATGTGAGCCTACAGAGAAATCTGCAGATGCATCTCAAGTTCCACTAACCTGCCTCCTTACCCCCCACCACCACCAACTTGGATATACCTTTAAAATTCCCCCCTTTGACGCTAAAAATAAAAACAACAACCATAAAATAAGTGTAAGAAAGTCCGACCAAGTACCGATGAGTTCTCCCACAACAATAAATTCGATGCCTCTTTGCCTGTTTTTGAAGTAGTAATGTAAAATTATCTCCCAAAATGCTGCCTTCTCTATACTCCGGTTTGCTCCTGTCCTGGGCACGTGTTCAGCAACCCCTTAGGGGAATCCAGAGCTGCGTGTTTAACACAGACCTGTTGGGACGGATTTTCGCTACTTGTCTATGAAACTGACGAACCATCCCAAAACGGCGGGTGCCGACTACACCCCCAGAGCCAAGAGCTGTGGCGTCCCCGGACCCGCTGGCGTGGCCCCGTGCCTCAGTTTCCCCAATGTATAAACACGGTGGAGGAGGAACGGGTTAGGGCTAGGGTCGGTGCTTGGGAATTGGGGGGCCCGAGTCCCCACCCTGAGACCCTCGTGGGGCGGAAGAGTACTCGGGACAGAAGCCCACCGCCCCGTGAGCGGCGCCGGCCCCACTGGGCTCCGGGGTGATGACCTGACGCGCGTGGAAACCCAGACCCGCGCCCCAGAAACAGTATTCCACTTGGGCTTGCCTCCCCGCCCCTACCTTCCAGGATGTTGACAGCTGGGAATGAAAGGCAGAGGGAGGGAGCGCGGGGCCGGAGCGCCGCCTGGGAGTGTGCCCACTGGGTGGCCGCCTGAGGGACCCGGGAACAGAGGGCAAAAAGTCCTGTGACCGGACAGAGCAGAGCGGGGACTGCAATTCCCAGAAGACCCCACGGTAGGGGCGGGACCCAAGATGGCCGCTTGTCTGGGGACAGGAGCGGAGGCCAATACGCGCAGAGCATGCGCCTACGCCGGGCCAATTGAAAGCCATAGTGACAGTAACCCTGATTCAGGGGCGGGAAACACTGACCACAGAAGACAAGTTGAGGTGAGAATCCCCTTACAAGGGGGTTTGGGGCATAAATCGCACAATCTTTGGCTTTTTCTAACTAGAAAAAGAAACATGATTCTTTTCACGTGTAACGAAAGGCTGTACCGCACTTTTGCTTTTTTCTTTCCTCCCAAAACGCGTTTAACTATCCCTTCACGACTTCCCACTGGCTGGATTTCTTTTCGTTTCATTTCCCCACTCTGGATCTTTCTGGATTCCTTAAGCCTTCTTTTCTTTATGTGTCTCTCAGAAACACAGACTTGCAGTCCCTGGCTTGATCCATCAAATAATGTGGTCATTTACGACTACGCTCAGCCCTCCCTGGCATCCTAACAAAATTGCACCACATGCGCCCCTTCTCTTTTCCTTTCTGTCTTTTCTGTGCTGTTTTTCTCCTTAGCATTTGTCGTTACGAAGCATTGTATAAAATTTACGTATTTATCTTTTTTACCATCTTACTTTCTCACTAGAATGCAAGATCCCTGCAGATGTGGATTTTTGTTTTGGTCACTGTAGTCTTTCTAGCACCTAGAAAAGTGCCCAGCACATAGTAAATACACCGTATTTTCAATAATTGAACGAAATCTAGAGTGACCTTTCTCCCCTAGTCTCCCTTTCTCTGGTGCAGATCAACCCGTTTCTGACCACCATGGTTCCTTGTGCTTGTTCCCCTGTTTAATCCAAAATCATTATTGATGTATTCTGTGCCAAATGCCATGTGGGTGCTGGAGAAATCATTGATTCAGACCCAATTCCTAACCTCAAAATGCTCTGTCTAGTGACGTATGAAAAGTAAAATTAATTTTACAATAAATGCAATTACAAATTGCAGAACACCTACGTAATTTTCACAAGGTCATGCAGCTCCTAAGCAAGGACTAGATTCCTGGCTGCAGACTCTTGCCATTACATCGGGAAAAACAAAGAGCAGTTTTCTCTCAGACAAACACTAAGATAGGTCCCCATTTTCCTTAGCACCATTTCCTTTCTCTGTCTCTCACTTTTTTATTTGGCCTGATTCATTACATGCAGGCAATTACATCAAGTCTTAGATCTCTCATTATTTCTAATATTTGAATCCCATGGAGAGTAGCAAGGTGTCCTACAAAGTGTCCTGGTGTGAAAATCTGATGTCCTTGGAAGCTTGACTCTCAGAGAATGTCACATTGGATTATAGTTCATCACACAGACACCATGGCCACATAAAATATTATCAAATTGTGAATAACAAAGTGAAATTGAAAAAAAAAATATAGTTAAAACAGCAGGAATGTGAGCAATATATGTACAGACTGATTTTGTGCATAGAGATTAAAACACCTGTTCAGGCTTCCTAGCCTAATCTTCTGTCAATTTGGGGTCATTTCCTGTAATACAATTCTTTGTTGCTTTTATGAGCACAGACTTAGCTCAGCAGTCCCAGCTATTCTCAAGCTGATCGACATGAGAGATTTCAACACATGTGTCAGCAGCCAGACTAAACGTGGAAGAAAATCAGAAGCATTTGAAACTGTAAAGCTCAATAACTTTCCTCCTCCTGAGAAAGCATCAGCCTATAATCATTACATCTTCTACTTAGCAGTCAAAAGGCAAATGTCATGAACATACTCAGGGTCTAAACAGTGGTGTCTAATGATTATTGCACTGTTGTCAGATAGCCTAATATGAGCACATAGGTATTACTTCAGCTGTGGATAATGCTGACTGCTGGGCTCAAGGTCACCCACGACCTTGAGCAACAGATACATTCACAAAGAGCATGAAGACATAGAACTTGCATTGGATTCAGGACCTTCAAGTGCCAAGACAATCAGTGGGAGGTTACTGTCTGATCTGCAACTTGACTGAATTAATAACCACCTTAGTATGGGTTCTCCCAGAAGCAGATCTGGAGACAGGTATTCAAGAGCAAGTATTTTATTTAGGAGGTTATCGCAGGAAACACCAGTAAGAGACTAAGAAAGTGAAATAGGGAAGAGAAGACCAAAAAGATGCCTTATCTAGCACATTACCGCTAGAGGCACCCAGAACTTAATCCTCCTAGAAATCTCTGGGAAACAATATGGAACATGTACCTTAGACTGAGTGATTCCACCAAGAGGACAAGATAACTGGGTTGTTTAAACACCAACTACCGTCAGTCAATGATTGGGGGCAGCTTTCAGGGATTATTAAGACCCTGGCTTGTCTGCAATGCTCCAAGAGTAGACAGAGTTGCCTCAGTGGCCACAGAAAGCCAGAGATAGAAGAATTAAGAGTCACATTGGTATACGCTGAAATAGTAAGGGAATATAGCATACTGGCGGGGCACCAATAATATCTGCTACAGGTGGCTTTGGTTTACCACAAGCTCATGTCACTGAAACTAACAGAATAAGAATAAGTCAGAAACTAAGTAGATAAATACAAAAAGCCCAAGCAGCCTACCACCTTCTATCACTCATCAACAATTAAGATAGATTGTACTTTCTAAATCCTCACTAAGACATACAAACCAAACAATAGCAGAAGCCTCATTTACACTGGGGAATAGGAACTCTTTGGGCATTTAAGGAGGGTGCTTTGGGAGCTTTGGGGCATGGTAGTGCAAGGAGAAAGAAGATTAAGAAAAGGGGAAAAGGACATTTAAAGAAACGTGTTAAAAACATTGTGTTTTTCATTTTATGGTCTTGAAACATGAGTAAAGGGTGTGGATATTTTAAGAAGGTAGCATCAAGATCTGGGTGACTTTTAGACCCAGAAGACAATTTTGTGAAAGACTTCTGTGGATTGTGCCATTATAGTACTTCTTCATAGCAAATATCTTTACTTGAAATTATACCCACATTTATTTGTCCTTTTGTTTATCATCTGTCTCCTTCAAACAAAAGGTAAACTCCATGAAGGTAAGAACTTTGTTTTCAGGCCAGGCACGGTGGCTCATGCCTGTAATCCCAGCACTTTGGGAGGCCGAGGTGGGCAGATCACGAGGTCAGGAGTTTGAAACCAGCCTGGCCAACATGGTGAAAACCCATCTCTACCAAAAATACAAAAATTAGCCAGGCATGGTGGCTCACACCTGTAGTCCCAGCTACTTGGGAGGCTGAGGCAAGGAATCACTTGAGCCTGGGAGGCAGAGGCTGCAGTGAGCCAAGATTGTGCCACTGCACTCCAGCCCAAGTGACAGAGCGAGACTCCATCTCAAAAAAAAAAAAAAAACAAACTTTATTTTTGTGTTATTCATTAGTCAGCACTCAATAAATATGTGGTTAACAAATGACTATATTATGGCTACAAAAAGTAAACAGGGTAAGTACTAGAAGAGCCTGACATTTGTACCATTTGTATCATTCAACTAAATCATAAAGGTAAGAGGCACTGGTAACTACACCATAACCCCCCATTATCACGAAGCTTGGGGCCATCCTTGTGTGTAGAAAAACTGGAGGTCACATAATGTTCTCTGGCTTTAGTCAAACACTTCCAACAGCATCCTCTTCAAGCACACATGGCCTACAAGGAAATCTTTACCATGGAAACAGAATTTCAAAACTAAAAAGTCCGTAGAGGTCAAAGAGTTCAACCCTCTGCATAATTCATCTTAGCCATATGTTACAGGTCATAATTCAGACCTTCAGACAAGAATCTTTATTTATTTGTAATTTATTACAAATTTATTTGAAAAAATAATATCTAATACAAAAATATTATATTAGAAAAAAGGAGAAACAATGCATTATTTTTGTAATACAAAGTATAGAAAGTTTGGGAAACTCAGTCGTACCCAAATGCTCTAGTCTGCTTCACACATTTCTTAACCTGTGATCATTAAGCTTTTTGGCTACCATTGGAGAATTCTGGTTGCCAGTAAGAGCCATCTTATGATGTGCTGAAAATTTTCTAAATTTTTCACCTATGTTTTTTTTTTCTGTCATCTTATTTCTCCCTTTGTTGTTCTGTGTTAAATGTATTCCTTGGGTAGATTTGTTCATCAGATATTTAGAGATCTGTCTATTCCCTATAGCTTGTGAACATATGCATGCTGTCTGCTTTTAACTGTGCCTCATAAATAATCACACTTAATCCTTCTTAGTGCCATCTTTTGCAATCATCTTCCAGTTACCTAGAACATAAGGTGCATAAAACTAAGCTCAGTGTCCAAGCTGTGATCTCAGTAGGGTGGCTCAGAATTAAGCGATGATTTTTCATCACTCTCTTTCAAGAAATTATGGCTCTAAACTTATTGCCCTGGTTTCACTGCAGCTTTAAAGACATTTCATCATTCTAGAAGATAAGACCCATTAAAAGCATTTTCTAAAAACTAAAAAATATAGTAGAGGAGAGTGCAGTTTCAATTCAGTTCCGTGTTTTATATATTGAGGGTTACTCTGCGAGCCATTGTGTTAGAGGCTGTAATTCACAAGTGAATAAGACACAGTCTCTGGAGTGGTACGGTAGTGAATACTGTAAGCATGTAAACAGATGAGCAAATCAATGTGATTCCCCATATGAGCCAATGCCAATGCCAGAATGAGTGGATTCTGCCACCTATAGTGAAGGAGAGACAGGGGTTCTGGGCAGAGGCAACAGTACATGGCAAGCACCAGAGTTCAGGCAGGTAAACGAATCAGTCTACAACCTAAATTGGAAGTAGGATAGCAGTGAAAGAAACCAGAAGAGTCTCAAGAACCAGCTCATGAGGGTTTCCTAGGTAACTCCCTAGTTTGCTGTAAAAGTAATTGAAAGCCTTGTAACTATAAAATAAATAGCTTAATTTGGAGGCAAAATGGGGAAAATCATTCAACAAATATTTATTGAGCATTTACTATATGCCAGGGATGCAATGGTGAGTAAATCATTGAAAAAAAAAAAATCCCTACCCTTGTGGGACCTCTAGAAGAGTAGACAAGCCATACTCTAATATACAAATGTATAGTCTATCATAGGTGTTGATAAATGCTAGCGGTAAAAAAGCAGAGTGAAAGGCTAGAAAGTGATAGGTGGTCTTCTTTTACATAGGGGGTCAGGGAAGGCCTCTTTGAAGAGATGTCATCTGAACAAAGATCTCAGTGAAGTGGGGTGGGAGGCAGCCATGAGGAAATCTATGCAAGAAAGTTCCAAACAGGCGGTACAGTAAGTGCAAAGTCCTTAAGACACAAGTCCTTAAGATACAAACAAGTCCTTAAGATACACCATGCTGGCGTGGTAGAAGAATAGCCAGAAAGCCATGTGGCTGGAGAAGAGTGAACGAGAAGAAAAGTAATGGAAAGGAGGTCAAAGGCAATCAGAGGCCGGATCATGAAGGGTTTGGTAGGCCATGGTAAGATCTCCAGGACAAATGTTAAACTGGTCCATAAATGTAGCCATCAGACAGTATATACAGTATGACCCATTCGTGTGAACATAAAAAGATTGTGTGTTACACACACACATAATTATTGAGGCTCATAATCACTTTGAGGACAGATGTGTTTTAGAAATTAATAATTTGTTGTTTTTTAGAAAGGTATATGTCTATACCATTTGGTATATAACACGTCTAGAGAAGTCTTATGACAGCACCCTGTCATCAAACATATTGATATGTCTGCAACAAAACATATATGGGATAAGCAAACACTAAATATAGTCTTACACCAGGTTAATCTTTTGGTTTTCAAGCTTTTTGGATTTCAAAATTTCAGATCCAGAATTGTGAATCTCTATTTGTACATGTGTGGAAAACTTCCAGGAGTGTCCCATTGTTCATTGTTGTGAACAAAGGTTGGAGGAGTGAGATGGCTTTGGTGGCTGAAGTATCTTTTATTCTACTTTTTATCATGCCGAATACACTTCTTTACCATGTATTATTTATGTCATTGAAATAACACAAGTTTAAAAATATTTTTTAATGTAGATATCAGTGTTTTTATTCATGTAGTCTTTGGGTATTAACAATATGAATGGAAATCAGGGAAAATATTTTAAACAAAAAAAGTAATAGAGAAGATTTTGAATATTCATTATATAATTGCTTCTATATTTGAGTTCTTAGTAATGAAATATTCAACTTTTACTGTGTCTCTGTATGCTTTTCAAATTTTTGTCTTGTAAATACTTTTGTGGACTATAGGGTCATAGTATAAAGATAATTTTGTAAGGAGTAGGAAATTCATATCTAAAATTCAGTAAAATATATTTTTAAATTTTATGGTAAATCATATTTCCTAATGTTCCAAGAAGTTTCTTCGGTTTCCTTATAGAACATGGTCCATTCTCAGGACCTGCGGTGTACTGTTTTGTTTTGTTTTCAAGGCAAATCTGTGGGGTTTTATTTCCATGTTTTGATAACAGAATGTCATGCTTGTGATAAATACTTGCCTGAAAGATATTTATAATGTACAAGCCCTAAAATATTTAGACATTTTTTAATTGCAATTTTCAACCTCCCTATTTCCTACCACTCTCCCCCAACAAAAATTCAGAGAGATGTATTTAACAGACACCACATTTCATGGTGAATGTTATTGGCTGTGTGGCTGAAAACTGTAATTAGCCATGCCTCACTGATTCATACATGAATCGTTTTGAGGTTTATTATTCCACTGGAATGTTAATGAACATGAATACAAAAATACTCTTGAGAGATTTTCTTTTTATCTTGGTAAAGTACATATGGTACGGGGAAAAAAAACCTTGAAAATAATTAGTGAAAAAATACTTAGTGTATATAACTAGACCCTTGATTTTTTTTTTTTAATTATTATACTTTAAGTTCGGGGATACATGTGCAGAACATGCAGGTTTGTTACATAGGTATACACGTGCCATGGTGGTTTGCTGCACCCATCAGCCCATCATCAACATTAGGTAGTTCTCCTAATGCTATCCCTCCCCAGACCCCAACCCCTGACAGGCCCCTGTGTGTGATGTTCCTCTCCCTGTGTGCATGTGTTCTGATTGTTCAACTCCCACTTATGAGTGAGAACATGCGGTGTTTGGTTCTGTTCCTGTGTTAGTTTGCTGAGAATGATGGTTTCTGGAAACCATCCATGTCCCTCCAAAGGACATGAACTCATCCTTCTTTATGGCTGCAAAGTATTCCATAGTGTATATATGCCACATTTCCGTTATCCAGTCTATCATTGATGGGTGTTTGGGTTGGTTCCAAGTCTTTGCTATTGTGAACAGAGCTGCAATAAACATGTATGCATGTGACTTAATAATAGAATGATTTATAATCCTTTGGGTATATACCCAGGATTTGCCCATGCCTATGTCCTGAATGGTATTACCTAGGTTTTCTTCTAGGGTTTTTATGGTTTTATGTCTTTTGTATAAGATGTAAGGAAGTGGCCAGTTTATGTTTTCTGCATATGGCTAGCATATGCAGAAATGGTGCTTTCCCAACACCATTTATTAAATAGGGAATCCTTTCCCCATTGATTGTTTTTGTCAGGTTTGTCAAAGATCAAATGGTTGTAGATGTGTGGCATTATTTCTGAGGCCTGTGTTCTGTTCCATTGGTCTATATATCTGTTTTGGTACCAGTACCATGCTGTTTTTGGTTACTGCAGCCATCTAGTCTAGTTTGAAGTCAGGTAGCCTAATGCCTCCAGCTTTGTTCTTTTTAAATAGGATTGTCTTGGCTATTGCTTCTCAGTCTTTTGGCTAAGATCAAATGTAGTATTGTCTTGGCTATACAAGCTCTTTTTTGGTTCCATATGAACTTTAAAGTAGTTTTTTCTAATTCTGTGAAGAAAGTCAATGGTAGCTTGATGGGGATAGCATTGAATCTATAAATTACCTTGGGCATTATGGCCATTTTCATGATATTGATTCTTCCTATCCACGAGCATGGAATGTTTTTCCATTTGTTTGGGTCCTCTCTTATTCCCTTGAGCAGTGGTTTGTAGTTCTCCTTGAAGAGGTCCTTCACAACCCTTGTAAGTTGTATTCCCAGGTATTTTATTCTGTCTGTAGCAATTGTGAATGGGAGTTCACACATGATTTGGCTCTCTGTTTGTCCATTATTAGTGTATAGGAAAGCTTGTGATTTTTGCACATTGATTTTGTATCCTGAGAATTTGCTGAAGTTGCTTATCAACTTAAGGAGATTTTGGGCTGAGACAATGGGGTTTTCTAAATATACAATCATGTCATCTGCAAACAGAGACAATTGGACTTCCTGTCTTCCTATTTGAATATCCTTTATTTCTATCTCTTGCCTGATTGCCCTGGCCAGAACTTCCAATACTATGTGGAATAGGAGTGGTGAGAGAGGGCATCCTTGTCTTGTGCCGGTTTTCCAAGGGAATGCTTCCAGCTTTTGCCCATTCAGTATGATATTGGCTGTGGGTTTGTCATAAATAGCTCTTATTATTTTGAGATACATTCCGTCAACACCGAGTTTATTAAGAGTAAAATTTTTAGCATGAAGCGGTGTTGAATTTTATCGAAGGCCTTTTCTGCATCTATTGAGATAATCGTGGTTTTTGACATTGGTTCTGTTTCTGTGAGGGATTACGTTTATTGATTTGCGTATGTTGAATCAGCCTTGCATCCCAGGGATGAAGCTGACTTCATCGTGGTGGATAAGCTCTTTGATGTGCTGCTGGATTCGGTTTGCCAGTATTTTATTGAGGATTTTCTTATCAATGTTCATCAGGGATATTGGCCTGAAATTTTCTTTTTTTGTTGTTGTGTCTTTGCCAGGTTTTGGTATCAGAATGATGCTGGTCTCATAAAATGAGTTAGGGAGGAGTCCCTCTTTTTGTATTTATTGTTTGGAATAATTTCAGAAGGAATGGTACCAGCTCTTCTTTGTACCTCTGGTAGAATTCGGCTGTGAATCTGTCTGGTCCTGGACTTTTTTTGGTTGGTAGGCTATTAATTACTGCCTCAATTTCAGAACTTGTTATTGGTCTATTCAGGGATTTGACTTCTTCCTGGTTTAGTCTTGGGAGGGTGTATGTGTCCAGGAATTTATCCATTTCTTCTAGATTATCCAGTTTATTTGCGTAGAGGTATTTGTGGTATTCTCTGATGGTAGTTTGTATTTCTGTGGGATCAGTGGTGATATCCCCTTTATCATTTTTTATTGTGTCTATTTGATTCTTCTCTCTTTTCTTCTTTATTAGTCTAGCTAGCAGTCTATCTATTTTGTTAATCTATTCAAAAAACCAGCTCCTGGATTCATTGATTTTTTGAAGGGTTTTCTGTGTGTCTATCTCCTTCATTTCTGCTCTGACCTTAGTTCTTTCTTGTTTTCCGCTAGCTTTTGAATTTGTTTGTTCTTGCTTCTCTAGTTCTTTTAATCGTGATGTTAGAGTGTCAATTTTCGATCTTTCCTGCTTTCTTTTGTGGGCATTTAGTGCTATAAATTTCCCTCTAAATACTGCTTTAACTGTGTCCCAGAGATTCTGGTACGTTGTGTCTTGGTTCTCATTGGTTTCAAAGAACTTGTTTATTTCTGCCTTAATTTCATTATTTACCCAGTAGTCATTCAGGAGCAGGTTGTTCAGTTTCCAAGTAGTTGTGCAGTTTTGAGTGAGTTTCTTAATCCTGCATTCTAATTTGATTGCACTGTAGTCTGAGAGACTGTTTGTTATGATTTCCGTTCTTTTGCACTTGCTGAGGAGTGCTTTACTTCCAATTTTGTGGTCAATTTTAGAATAAGTGTGATGTGGTGCTGAGAAGAATGTATATTCTGTTGATTTGGGGTGGAGAGTTATGTAGATCCATATTAGGTCTGCTTTGTCCAAGCTGAGTTCAAGTCCTGAATATCCTTGTTAATTTTCTGTCTCGTTGATTTGTCTAATATTGACAGTGGGGTATTAAAGTCTCCCACTATTATTGTGTGGGAGTCTAAGTCTCTTTGTAGGTCTCTAAGAACTTGCTTTATGAATCTGGTTCCTCCTGTATTTGGTGCATGTATATTTAGGATAGTTAGCTCTTCTTGTTGTGTTGATCCCTTTACCATTATGTAATGCCCTTCTTTGTCTTTTTTGATCTTTGTTGGTTTAAAGTCTGTTTTATCAGAGACTAGGATTGCAACCCCTGCTTTTTTGTGTGTGTGTGCTTTCCATTTGCTTGGTAAATATTACTCCGTCCCTTTATTGTGAGCCTATATGTGTCTTTGCACGTGAGATGGGTCTCCTGAATACAGCACACCAATGGGTCTTGACCCTATGCAATTTGCCAGTCTGTGTCTTTTAACTGGAGCATTTAGCCCATTTACATTTAAGGTTAATATTGTTATGTATTAATTTGATCCTGTCATTACGATGCTAGCTGGTTATTTTGCCCATTAGTTGATGTGGTTTCTTCATAGTGTCAATGGTCTTTACAATTTGTTATGTTTTTGCAATGGCTGATATCAGTTTTTCCTTTCCATATTTAGTGCTTCCTTCAGGAGCTCTTGTAAGGCAGGCCTGGTAGTGACAGAATCTCTCAGCATTTGCTTGTCTGTAAAGGATTTTTTTTTCTCCTTCGCTCATGAAGCATTGTTTGGCTGGATATTAAATTCTGGGTTGAAAATTATTTTAAGAATGTTGAATATTGGCCCCCACTCTCTTCTGGCTTGTAGGGTTTCTGGAGAGACATCCACTGTTAGTCCCTTTGTAGGTAACCCGACCTTTCTCTCTGGCTGCCCTTAACATTTTTTCCTTCATTTCAACCTTGATGAATCTGATGATTATGTGTCTTGGGGTTGCTCTTCTGGAGAAGTATCTTTGTGTTGTTCTCTGTATTTCCTGAATTTGAATGTTGGCCTCTCTTGCTAGGTTGGGGAAGTTCTCCTGGATAATATCCTGAAGAGTGTTTTCCAACTTGGTTCCATTCTCCCTGTCACTTTCAGGTACTCCAATCAAATGTAGGTTTGGTCTTTTCACATAGTCCCATATTTCTTGGGGGCTTTGTTCATTTCTTTTCATTCTTTTTTCTCTAATCTTGTCTTCACACTTTATTTCATTAATTTGATCTTCAGTCTCTGATATCCTTTTTTCCACTTGATTGATCCAGCTATTGATACTTGTGTATGCTTTACAAAATTTTTGTGCTGTGTTTTTCAGCTCCCTCAGGTCATTTATGTTCTTCTCTAAACTGGTTATTCTAGTTAGCGATTCCTCTAACCTTTTGTCAAGGTTCTTAGCTTCCTTGCACTGGGTTAGAACATGCTCCTTTAGCTCAGAGTAGTTTGTTATTACCCACCTTGTTATTTCCCACCTTCTGAAGCCTACTTCTTTCAATTTGTCAAACTCATTCTCTTTCCAGTTGTGTTCCCTTGCTAGCGAGGAGTTGTGATCCTTTGGAGGAGAAGAGTCATTCCAGTTTTTGGAATTTTCAGCCTTTTTGCACTAGTTTTCTCTCATCTTCATGGATTTTTCTACCTTTGGTGTTTGATGTTGGTGACCTTTGGATGGGGTTTCTGTGTGGACGTCCTTTTTGTTGATATTGATGCTATTCCTTTCTGTTCACTCGTTTTCCTTCTAACAGTCAGCCCCCTCTGCTGCCAATCTGCTGGAGTTTGCTGGAGGTCCATTCCAGACCCTCTTTGCCTGGGTATCACCAGTGGAGGCTGCAGAACAGCAAAAATTGCTGCCTGTTCCTTCCTCTGGAAGCTTCATCCCAAAGTGGCACCCGCCAGATGCCAGCTGAAGCTCTCCTGTATGAGGTGTCTGTCGACCCCTGCTGGGAGTTGTCTCCCAGTCAGGAGGCATGGGGGTCAGGGACCCACTTGAGGAGGCAGTCTGTCCCTTAGCAGAGCTCCAGCGCTGTGCTGGGAGATCCGCTGCTCTCTTCAGGGTCAGCAGGCAGGAATGTTTAAGTCTGCTGAAGCTGCACTCACAGCCACGCCTTCCCCCAGGTGCTCTGTCCCAGGGTGATGGGAGTTTTATCTATAAGCCCCTGACTGAAGCTGCTGCCTTTCTTTCAGAGATGCCCTACCCAGAGTGGAGGAATCTAAAGAGGCAGGTGTGCTCTACCCAGTTCAAACTTTCCCAAGGCTTTGTTTACACTGTGAGGGGAAAACCACCCACTCAAGCCTCAGTAATGGCGGACACCCCTCCCCCCACCAAGCTTAAGCGTCCCAGGCCGACTTGAGACTGCTGTGCTGGCAGTGAGAATTTCAAGCCAGTGGATCTTAGCTTGCTGGGCTCCATGAGGGTGGGATCCACTGAGCTAGACCACTTGGCTCCCTGGCTTCATCCCCCTTTCCAGGGGAGTGAATGGTTCTGTCTCGCTGGTGTTCTAGGCACCACTGGGGTATGAAAAAAATAAAAAAACTCCTGCAGCTAGCTCAGTGTCTGCCCAAATGGCTGCCCAGTTATGTGCTTGAAACCCAGGGCCCTGCTGGCACAGGCACCCGAGGGAATCTCCTGGTCTGCAGGTTGCAAAGACCATGGGAAAAGCATAGTATCTGGGCCAGAGTGCACTATTCCTCAAGGCACATTCCCTCACAGCTTCCCTTGACTAGGGGAGGGAATTCCCCAACCCCTTGCACTTCCCGGGTGAGGAGACGCCCCACCCTGCTTCATCTCACCCTCCGTGGGGTGCATCCACTGTGTAACCAGTCCCAATGAGATGGGTACCTCAGTTGGAAATGCAGAAATTACCTGCCTTTTTCCTTGATCTTGCTGGGAGCTGCACACCAGAGCTGTTCCTATTCTGCCAAATTGCCCGCCTCCCTAATTTTTTTGAATAGTAAATAAGACTGTATAATTTACTGGAGTCTCTTCTCTACGAAGCGCACAGTGATTTTACAAACATTAATTAATAAAGCTTCAGGATCCCTACCAGGTAAATGTTAATAAAACCCAGGAGTCCTAACTTTTTTGACCTTTGCCTCAATTTTCAGATAAGAAACTAGCTGACTAAGATGCTTCCACAGCTTTGAAAACAAAATGGGCATGAAACCAACATTCAGAGTTCAGATGTCACTTATGAGTAGCATTCTCTTATGAACCTAGTTGGAGATAGAAGTAATTTAGGGAAAATGATATTTCAGCACTGCCTTAATCTAGCAGGGATTTTCTTCATGGGAAAATTAAACCAAACACAAACTGAAGTATGACTTAACTGGGCCTGCTTCTGCATTTAGGGTCACCAAAGCATACTGTAAATGGAAATCAGATTGCTTTAGAATCCAAGAACAAACTCTACTTTTGACCTTTAGGAAGCTCATGATGTATATGCCCACCAAATAAACAAAATAATTTCAAAGTAAATTCGTTGAGTGCACCTGACCTTTGAAACAGAGCAGATGATGTTAATCAGATTTGTACAGCGTTAATCTAGCTCAGCCTCTGTCTCTCCATGTATTTTTAAAATATCATAAGGAAGAGTCTCACAACAGGGAATCTTTCAAATCGGAATAGATTTAGAAATGGAACAGAATGTATGACCTGGCTTCAAACAATGAAGTATATAACTCAAACATGTAAGCAAATGAATTTTATGACTATAAACCAACATACCACACCCCTCAGGAAAAGCAACTTTTAAAAAATAATATAAGCCTGTGTTATTTTCTCAATAAAATATAGTTCAAGTTCTGATACTGTGTTAGTTACCATTAGGTAAACTTTGAGTTGAAAATGGCCTACATATCATAAAAAGGTGTTCTGTCTGACCATTGCATCTGACTTTTGTCAAGCCATATCATTTCTGCATTTTGGACATTGAATGTTTGAGCCATGGCCTTTCCAGAATAGCCTGTTAAGTAACTTGATGGACATATGCTTCTTTTCCCAGGATCACTTCCTTTGGATAACCAGCCCTGACCCCATTCCATAGTAATCTCTGTCAATCTTGGTGGCTCTGACCACACATTTGTTCTGGCTTAAATTGGGGAGGACTATGGGGTGTGGAGGACGGTAATGGAGCAGGAGTAGTCACAGAAAACAAACTTGACCAAAGCACTCCATACTACTTGGCCACTGGTTGGTTGGGGATGGGCACATGACCCAAGCTGAGCCAGTATCCTCAGATGTTTTGTCAGAGAGATTTTTTAAAAAGCCCCTCTTTCTCTGTGATCACAAGCCATAATGATGATACAAGTGTGGGGCTGCAGGCTATTTTGCCCACCCAGGAATTAAGTCAAAAGGGCAAGCAGAGAGGAGAAATGAGGAGAGGAACAGAGCCCAGCTGGCATTGCATCCCAGAATCCAATTTTGCCTGAAGCTACCTCTTAGATTTGCCAGTTACATGAGCCTTTTCTTGTTTAAGTTGGTTTGAATTAGGTTTTTGCTACTGGCAGCCAAAGGAGTCCTGACTAATCCACAAAGTTCAACTGACAGATAAGCTACTCAGAATGCGACGGTGAAATGAAAGGGATAATACTCTCCCATTCTCTTGTAATTTGGAAATTCTCCGGACCTAAAGCCAGATCAGCCTCTGCTCTACCAGCACCAAAACTGTGCACGAGGCACACTGTAGTCATCTAAGGAACTGGAGATGTTAGCCTGAGAACGAGAAGACAAGATGTGCTTGCTGGGCTCAAACGTGTGAAGGTCTACTTTGTGAGAAAGGGATTGGATTCACTCTTTGGAGTTAAAAGTCAGACCAACAAGTCCTTATCACTGAGGGGAATTTTCTGTACAACATGAAGGATAACTTTTCTAACAATGAAAGCCATCCTAGCTGACATAATGTGACCCTCAAACACTTCCTTTATTGAGTGAGAGGCTGGACAAAATGACATCTAAGATCCCACCCAACTCTGTGATTACTTGATTCAATCAAAGTTTGGTCATGGTGACCGTATCTGTACAGTCATGCATTGATTAAAAATGGGGATATATCCTGAGAAATGTGTCCTTATGTGATTCCATCATTGTGCAAACATCATAGAGTGCACTTACATAAATCTAGATGGCAATGCCTTCTGCACACCTAGGTTTTGTGGTATAGTCTAATGCTTCTAGGCTGTAAACCTGTACAGCAGATGACTGTCCTGAATACTGTAGGCAACTGTAACACCATAGTAGGTATTTGTGTATCTAAACATATCTAAATATAGAAAAGGTATGGTAGAACTACAGTACTAAATAAGCTTATAGGACCACTCAGATATGTGGTCTGTTGCTGACAAAGTGTCATTATGCAGTGCATGACTGTAATTTATTATAGTCACCTCAACCATTCAGCAAATCAAAAATCAATATAAATCAATCATATATAAGGAGGCCCAGAGGAAATTAAGTGTCGGAAGAGATTTCCTAGAGGGGATGATAACTTGCACAGTTTTAAATACAAATAGGACTTAGTTTCTATCACACATACCATGTTGAACAATGCTCTATTCAGCACTGATTCTTCAAGAAGCTATTTATCTCTACCATAGTTTCTTTAAAAATATGCAAATACATATGTAATAATGATCTATTTCAGTGTATTATAAATTAAAATTTTCCAAATTCTTGAGTGTTTTGTAGGCATATAGCTAATAAACATTAACAGTTTGGTGTAGTGTACCTGTAACCAGCCCTGTATACCTGTATACCAGCTGCTCTCAGCCAATGAATGGGAGTCCCCTATTACTGCATTCTACCATTCACTACACTCTGAGTTGAGAGTGTTCTACAATACATGTTTTTGCTTATCTTTCTGCCATTATTTTGTGTACTGGCAATTTATTTTGTGTCCTCAAAAGCAGTTTTGACATGAAATGCTTAACCACAGTTATGAAAATGATACATCCATACTAGATCTACCCATAGCAAAGTGACAGCACTACATTAGACATCAAAATGCAAGTCCTATAGAGGTTCAGGGTGCCTTCAGGAAATGTTTGAGAAGACAGAATCAGGTAAATAGGGACTGAAAGATAATTTTTGGCATTATGAAGAGCAGCATAAATACCACTGCAGGCAGGGAAAATAAACAAAAATTGTTAGAAAGCTGTTTGGAAGAAATGACTATAAGAAGACACATCATGATGTAAGGAGTTTGGAAGAAGACAGTTGTGTGGTTGCCATGTGAAGGACTGGAACACTTCTCCATGGGGACAGTGATAGGAAGACCCAGTATAATGCTGATCACAGCAGCACCCCCATTTCCAGGAATGGAGCACTTCATCCATCTCCTGCCTTCTCTCTCAACAGACTTTGTGAGTGCTCAAACCAAGTGGGGAAAGACAGTCAAGAGAGAGGGAACAGCATGTGAAAAGAAAAATTGTAAAACATGGCAGTTTAGAAACTGTAAGTGGTTTAACATTACTGGAGGAGAGAATACAGGAGAGAGGTTAACAACGAGACTGGAACTGTAGACAAAAGCCATGTTATGAAAGAGCTGATGAAACCTTCTCTAGACCTAGGACTTAATGTGACAAGCAGTGGGGAGCAAATAATTGGCTTTAACAGGGCAAGCAATGTGATCAAGTTCGAATTTTAGAGAAAAATCTGGAAGCACTATGGAGGCTTGACTGGAGTGGGATATGACTCCAGAAAGATCAGTGAGGAGGTCATTGTTAGCAATCAGACACATTTTTTTTTGGCCTATTAAATTACCATTTTTTTAAAAAAAGAAAAAGAATATCCTGGTGGTAAGCTATAAATTGGTAAATTTGTAAAAAGCTACTTGCAATAATGTAAGTCAAGTAAGAAATTTAGAAATAATACTGAAAAAGTTTACGCCCTTTGATCCAGTAATTCTATGTGTAGGAATCTACAGTAAAAGTACAGAGATGCAGACAAAAGTGTATGTTCAGTGATGTTCCTTCTTTCAGTCTTATTTCTGAAAAACTAGAAACCACTTTCATGTCCAATCAAAAAAGCAACAAATAAATGAAATATGTCACTGCTATTTAAAATTTTTTTTTAAATATTCACTGACATGGAAAATTGCCCAAGGATTAATGTTAATTGAAAAAGCAGAATACAAAATTAAATATATGGTAAAACTGCCTTCTTCAGAAAGGTGTATGCATTTAAAAACTGGAAAATACAAAAATATATATATATATAATCAGAGCTTATCTCTAGGTGGTGAAATTGAGTGATTTTGATTTTCATCTTTTTAAGCTTTTTTTATTTTTTCATTCACTGTCATGAACATGTACTACTTTTGCAGACAACTGTTAGGTTGAACCATTTGAAATTGCCTGCTGCAGACTGAATTGTGTTCCCACCTTCTCCCCAAAATGTGTATGTTGAAACCGTAACTCCCAGTGTGATGGTATTTAAAGATGAGACCTTGGGAAATAAGTAGGTGTAGATGAGGTCATGAGGGTGGAGCATTCATGATGGGATTAGTGTTCTTATAAAAAGAGGAAGAGGTCATGTGAGCACACAGGGAGATAGCAGCCATCTACACACGGGGAAGAGAGCCCTCACCAGAACTTGACCATGCTGATGCCCTGATCTTGGACTTCCAGTCTCCAGAGCCTTGAGAAAATAAATCTCTGTTGTTTAAGCCAGTCTATGATATTTTGTTATGGCAGCCCAAGCTGACTAATACACTGCCAAAATTGACTTCAAAAATGACAATTCCATATGAATCAGCCTACATAAAAGTGAAATAAAATAAAAAGCAACAGTCATTGAAAATGCCCTGACAATAGATGCTAAGAGCCAGAACCAAAGCAACAGTAATAAGATAAGAATAACAAAGATGCAAATGACATTAAGTTGGTAGATTCTGTAACTTGGTGATGGATAGGATTGATAAAACAGTACTGGTGAATAAGGAACAGCATCTAAAACATGAATCCAAAGTTTTTACACTAAGAAATCGAGGGATGGTAGAGGTACTAGTCAAGACAAGGGATAATCAGAAAAATCTGTTTGGTAGCTAGCCTCTGAGATGGCCTCAATAATCCCCACCTCCTGGCATTCGCAGCCTTGAATACTCCCCTTCCTGGTCTACAGGTGGTCAGTATTCTGCCTCATTTATAATACTGCCGAAGTTATGTCTCACTGCTACAGAGATGAACATTCACCCTGGGAAAAAAGCCAACTGCTGTGTTCGGACACTTAAAGCCTATGGACAGGCCTATGTGTTGAGGAACTGAGATATCCAGCCAACAGCCAGCAAGGAACTGAGGTCTGACAACAACCTCATGAGAGAGATTGGAAGCAGATCCTGCAGCCCCAGTCAAGCCTTTCAGTTGCTGACACCTTGACAGCAACCTCATGAGAGACGCTGAGCCACGTGATGAGGCTAAGCTGCGCCCAGACTTCTGTCTCATAACAGCTATGAGATAATAAATGTTTGTTTTAAGCCACTATTTCGGGAGGTAATTTGTTACAGATAATTAGATAACTTCACTTGTCTCTCGGTAACCATGGGAGATTGGTTCCGGGACCCCCTGCAGATACCAAACTCCATGAATACTCAAGACTCTTATATAAAATGGTGTAGTATTTGCATATAACCTACACACATCCTTCTGTATACTTTAAATCACTTCTAGATTACTTATAATACCTAATGCAATGCCTATGCATCACTTCATTCACATGGATTCAGCACAGTATTTGGCACAGAGCAAATTCAAGGTTTGTTTTCTGGAACTTGGTGGAATTTTTTTTTTTTTTTTTTTTTTTTTGATACAAGGTCTCACCCCATTGCCCAGGCTGGAGTGCAGTTGCACAATCATGGCTCATTGCAGCCTCGACCTCCCAGGTCCAAGTGACCCTCCTGCCTCAGCCTCCTGAGTAGCTAGGACCACAGCATGTGCTACCATGCCCAGCTAAGTTTTTAATTTTTTGTAGAGAGAAGGTCTCACTATGTTGCCCAGGCTGGTCCTGAACTGGGCTCAATCAATCCACCCACCTCGGCTTTCCAAAGTGTTGGGATTACAGGCATGAGACACCGCGCCCAGCCTTTTTTTTCCAAATATTTTGTATCTGTAGTTGGTTGAATCTATGGATGCAGAACCCACAGACATGGAGGACCAACTGCAATACAACCGGTTTTGATTAATTTGCTTATCTGAAGAGTTGAATATTCCTGAAGGCAGAAATCATGTCTTAATATTTAAGGCCTCTTGCTGTATGTGGCACATGATCTATATTCAATGAATATGTATTACAGTCTGGAAAGGTAGAAAAGGAGACTGTAAACCCTAGCAAAGTAGTTTGGACACTTTCTGGTGGGGACCCACTAATGGCTCATAAGGTTGTTCAGGATAAAGATTTGTTTGAAAAGAAATGTGGTGAATGATTTTTGTACTTGACACTTCTTCAAGGACTTGTATTGCTTGTAAATGTACTTTAATAATCTTATATGCTTTAGAAGCCCATATATCCCAAAATACTCCAAATTGTAGAGTTCTAAACCTGCAACTTATTTTCTTTTATAAAACAAACTTTGGAAAAGTGTGGTCTTTAACTTTTTTTTTTTTTTCCGGACAAATTCTCACTTTGTCGCCCAGGCTAGAGTGCAGTGGCACAATCTTGGCTCACTGCAACCTCTGCCTCCCGGGTTGAAGCGATTCTCTTGCCTCAGCCTCCCGAGTAGCTAGGATTACAGGTGCCCACCACCACACCCAGCTAATTTTTGTATTTTTAGTAGAGATGGGGTTTCACCATGTTGGCCAGGCTGGTCTCAAACTCCTGACCTCAGGAGATCCACCCACCTTGGCCTCCCAAAGTGCTGGGATTATAGTCTTCAACATTTTTAACTACAGAAAGGTTTAGCAAGATTTTTGTTTCTAAATTCATTTTCATATCTTAGATAATTTGTAGCTAGCAATTTTGTACCAGCTTTCCTTTTTATTTTGGACTATTGCTGACCCAGATTTAAAGCCTAGAGTTGACGAAATTTAAACTTTTACAGTACATTTTATCAATTATATAATGCAATAGTCAATCCAAGAAAATTCTGTCTTCTGAGCTTCATCCATAACTGTTCTTTATTGTTCTATAAACAACTGATTGATGCCATTAATGCTTGGACACATGTTAGAACCGAGGAGAAGTAGAACATGTAATAAAAAAGCATCAGTCCACTTAAACTTGAGTGTACTGATAATGATGCCTGGTCTCTATGATGTAGTTTGTTGCTGAAATACTCCCATAAATACATACACGCACACACACCACTTCAGGTTTCACAAAAGCAACTCATAGCCTTTATATCCTAATGGACTCAATGAAAATTAGAGGGAATTCATGAGACTCTGGAAACAGTGTATACCTGGTGAGAATGAAATCAGAAAAGTCTGGGGTGCTCTTCAGAGTTCTTACTAAAAGCAATAAAGGAAAATCTTGCATTTTTGCCAAATGTAAGCAAAGTTCACATGAAACATTTATGTCTTCAGATAGAACCACAAAAGCTCAAGAAGAGGCAGGAAGGCTAAGGAGCTAATCCATTGCACATCTGAGAAGAGATTGGACCTTGCAACTCTTTCTCATTTGCTGTAGAGTCTAGTTTCCTTGATATGCCCTCAGCCACCCAACTCTCATAACTCTTGCTTCAGATTCTCCTAATTAGATACAGCAAATAAGAGTTTCCCTCCCAGAAGGTGAGTGGTTTTTCCTTACTTTATATCATTTCATAATTCACTTTGATACTCTTCAGACTGCTTCTGTGTAATTTGCAACTTTCAAACATTGGAAGCTAGTTAGCTTTGCCATGTAGATTTCATTTAACTAAATCATATTCAGATCGTTTTACCTCCTTTAAAAAGAAGCAGCAAGAAAATCTTTGATGTTATATCTTAACTGTAATTAAGATATCATCTCCAATATTTTACTGTAGAAAATGCAATAAATAAAATATGAATTTATGCAACACAGTTATTCACACTGAAAAGCAATTAACAGGCTATTCCTCATCTTTCTGTTGCAGTTACATAGAAGGACTCCTTGCTGTGTGACCTTTAGAAAAACATTGAACTTTTCTGTGCCTTGTTTTCCTAATCTACAATAGGATAATAGTTCCTACCTTTAGGATTAACTGGGATTAGTTTAAGATTAACTGAGATTATCTGACTCTCTCATGAAAACATAGGTGACATTATTTTGTAATATTTCCCAGGCATGAATAGAATCATTTTGATTTCCTTTTTCAAAAAGATTTCATATTTCTTATTTCATTTGTGCCTAATCACAAAAAAAGAATTATAAAAGGGTTGTGTTGAATTGTTCTTTATAAATATTTTTATTCTTTGTTTATGTTTACTTTTTAAAACATTTTTAACTTTTGTGGGTACACAGTAGATGTATATATTTATGGGGTACATAGTATGTTTTGATATAGGCATGCAATGTGAAATAAGCAAGTCATGGAGAATGGGGTATCCATGTCCTAAAGCTTCTCTCCTTTGAGTTACAAACAATCAATTACACTCTTTAAGTTATTTTAAAATGTGCAATTAAGTTTTTATTGACTATAGTCGCCCTGTTGTGCTATCAAATAGCAGGTCTTATTCATTCTTTCTAACAATTTTTGTACCCATTAACCATTCCCTCTTCCCCTCTCAGCCCCCCACTGCCCTTCCCAGCCTCTGGTAACCATCCTTCTACTCTTTGTCTCCATGAGTTCAATTGTTCTGATTTTTAGATTCCACAAATAAGTGAGAATATGAAGTATTTGTCTTTCTGTGTCTGGTTTATTTCACTTAACATGATGATCTCCAGTTCCATCTGTGTTGTTGCAAATGACTGAGTCTCTTTTTTTTTTAATGGCTAAATAGTAGTCCATTCTGTATATGTACCACATTTTCTTTTTCCATTTATCTGTTGATGGACACTTAGTTTGCTTCCAAATCTTGGCTATTGTAAACAGTGCTGCAACAAACACAGGAGTGCAGATATCTTTACAATATACTGATTTCCATTATTTGGGGCATATACCCACCAGTGGGATTGCTGGATCATATGGAAGCTCAATTTTTAGTGTTTTGAGGAACCTCCAAACTGTTCTCCATAGTGTCTGTGCTACTTTACATTCCCACCAACAGTATATACAGGTTCCCTTTTTTCCACATCCTTGCCAGCACTTGTTATTGCCTGTCTTTTGGATATAAGTAATTTTAATTGGGGTGAGATGATACCTAATTGTAGATTTGACTTGCATTTCTCTGATGATCAATAATGTTTATCTCTTTTTCATATGCCTGTTTCCCATTTATATGTCTTCTTTTGAGAAATGTCTATTCAAAATTTTGCCCATTTTTTGATCAGATTATTAGATTTTTTTCCTATAGAGTTGTTTGAGCTTCTTATATATCCTGGTTATTAATCCCTTGTCAGATGGATAGTTTGCAAATATTTTCTCTCATTCTGTGGGTTGTCTCTTCACTTTGTTGATTGTTGATTTGCGGTGCAGAAGCTTTTTAACTTGATGTGATTCCATTTGTCCATGTTTGCTTTGGTGGCCTGTCCTTGTGGGGTATTGCTCAAGAAATTTTTGTCCACACCAATGTCCTGGAGATATTCCCCAGTGTTTTCTTGTAGTAGTTTCATAGTTTGAGGTCTCGGATTTAAGTCTTTTATCTACTTTGATTTGATTTTTGTATATGGTGAGAAATAGGGGTATAGTTTCATTCTTCTGCATATGGATATCGAGTTTCCCTACCACCATTTATCGAAGAAACTGTCTTTTCTCCAGTGTATGTTCTTGGCATCTTTGTCAAAAGTAAGTTCACTGTAGGCATGTGGATTTGTTTCCGGGTTCTCTATTCTGTTCCATTGGCGTATATGTCTGTTTTTATGCTAGTACCATGCTGTTTCAGCTACTATAACTCTGCAGTGTAATTTGAAGTCAGGTAATGTGATTCCTCCAGTTTTGTTCTTTTTGATACCTTTGGCTACTCTGAGCCTTTTGTGGCTCCAAAAAATTTTAAGGTTGTTTTTTCTATTTCCGTAAAGAATATCATTGGTATTTTGATAGGAATTGCACTGAATCTGTAGATTGCTTTGGGTAGTGTGGACATTTTAACAATATTGATTCTTCCAATCCATGAACATGGAATATTTTTTCATTTTTTGGTGTCCTCTTCAATTTCTTTCATTACTGTTTAATAGTTTTCATTATAATGATCTTTCACTTCTTTGGTTAAGTTAATTCCTGGGTATTTCATTTTATGCGTGGCTATTATAAATTAGAGTAATTTTTAAATATATTTTTCAGATTGTTCACTGTTGACTTATAGAAATGCTACTGATTTTTGTATGTTGATTTTGTATCCTGCAACTTTACTGAATGTGTTTATCAGTTCTAATAGTTTTCCTGTGGAGTGAATTGTTTTTAGATTTTGAATTATAAGCAGTTACTGAGTTGCAGTATTCCTAGATGCAACAGGCAACACCATGAGAGGTGATGTACAGGCATACACGTGTATGCACACATGTGAATATATATATTTTGATATCCACATCTATATATATGGAAAATACCAGCAACAGTATGTGATAAAGAAAGGCAAAGATATTTACATTGAGGCAGATTACTTGTAAATTTATGTATTTTGTTGTTCTGGTTTGAAAAAGACATGATTATTCATATATGCAAACCATGGCTAAGAAAAAAACATTGTGCATCTTAGGACCCGTGAGCTGCCCTTCAGTGCCAAAGCAGTTATTGCTGGAAGTTATTCCTCTGTCTCCTCTCCTTACAGGCTTACTTCCTACTTCCCTGAAAGAAAGTTTGAGCTGTATTCATGTAGGCAGAAAAAGGAACTCAAAGAGTTCAGGCTCTCAAACCTCTTTGACTTGCCTTCAAATCCAAACTAAACCATGGCTAAGTTGCCATCTCTAAGGTCAGTTTACCTTCTGGCAAAATAGGAATCTTGAGAGCACCTGTTGTAATGAGGATCGAATGAGATAACATATGTAAAGCACAGAGCCTAGCACATAGTAGGCACTTAAAATGTTGTTGGTGTTTTTTTTTTTTTTAAGAGTTGAAATTTCATGCTGTCACCCAGGCTGGAGTGCAGTGGCACAATCACAGGTCACTGCAGCTTCAAACTCCTGGGCTCACACAATCCTCCCACCTCAGCCTCACAAGTAGCTGGTACACGCCACCATGACTGGTTAGTTTTTTTTTCTTTCTTTCTTTTTTTTTTTTTTTTAGAGATGGGGTCTCACTTTGTCACCCATGCTGCTCTGAAGCGATCTTCCCACCTTGGCCTCCCAAAGTGTTGGGGCCAGGTGCACAACATCACACCTGGCAAATTATTATTTTTAAAACTTTTAGCAGAAACAGAGTCTTACTATGTTGCCCAAGCTGGTCTTCAACTCCTGGCTTCAAGTGATCCTCTTGCCTTGGCCTCCCAAAGTGCTGGGATTATAGGCATGAGCCATCACGCCTGGCCAAAATATTGATGATTCTTGTGTGAGACAGGATATAGGCTCTAGCTGCTGCAGTGAATAACAAACACCCAAATATTTAAAAGGCATAAACAAAACAGAATGTCATTTCTTCTCACTCAGAACTGATACGGAAGCTCTATGGTGTTAGACACTCAAGCTCCTCTTGTTACTTTGCCATAATCTACTGGTAGCTTCCTGTGACTCTAAGATGGCTGCTCCAGCTTCTGCCATCTTATTCACACCTCGGCAATGGGCAGGTGGAAACAGGGAGGGTAGTTATTCATTCATTCTTTTCTGGCTATCTATTTTTGTGTAATAAATCAAAAAATTTAGTGACCTAAAACAATTAATCATCTCTCATGGTTTCTGTGGAACAGGAATTTGGAAAGGGCACTCCTAGGAAGGCTTGTCTCTGCTTCACAATGTCAGGGGTCTCGTCTGGGAAGATTTGAAAGTTGGAGGTGAATCAATGGCTGAGGGCTATTGCCATCTGTAAGCTTCCTTAACTCACATGTCTGATGGTTGATGCTGGCTACCATCTTTGACTTCAGCTGGGGTTGTTAGCCAGAACACCTACCTGTGGCCTCTCCATGTGGCTACTTGGGCTTCCTAACTGAATGATGTCTAGGTTCTAAGAGAGAGCCACCTAAAGAGAACCAAGTGAAAGCTTCAGCACCTTTTTATGACATAGCCTCAGAAGTCAAACAGGGTCCCTCTACTGCTCACAAACCTGCCCAAATCCAGAAGGGTCATAAACCTCACCTCTCAATAGGTGGAGTGGCAAAGTCACAGTGTAAAAAAAATCATGTGGTATGGAAGATTGTAGGGGTTATTTCTGGAAAGTACAATCTGTGCGAATTTCACCTGTGACTGATATAGCAACTTCGTTGTAGGAGTTATTTGTTCAGTCATGGTTGGAACAGATATTTTTTGAGTGTTATTATATGCTAGGCACCATTCTAGGCTCTAGGGATACAGTAGTGGGGAAAACAAAGTCCCTGCCCTCATCATAGTTGTATTCTAGTAGGGGAGACAGATAATAAATAGATGTTACATACACCACTGGATAGCGATGAGTGCTGTGAAGAAATTCAGGCAGAGTAAGGGTGCAGAAAATGACACAGTGTAGATGTTATTTAGATAGCATGGTAAAACAAACAAACAAACAAAAAAGACTTTTCTAAGGAGATGACATAGGAACAGAGACCTCAGAAGTTACATGAACCAGCCATGCAGGAACTGAAAGAAGAGCATGATAGGCAGAGGGAACTGCTTAAGTAAAGATTTGAGATGGAATAGGCTTGGGTTGTTCACAGCACAGCAATAAAACACATATGACCGAGGACAGGTGCCATGGCTCACTCCTGTAATCCCAGCACTTTGGGAGACCCAGGCAGGCGGATCACCTGAGGTCAGGAGCTGGAGACCAGCCTGGAACATGGTGAAACCCCATCTCTACTAAAAATACAAAAATCAGCCAGGCATGGTGGTGGGTGCCTCTACTCCCAGCTACTCGGATGGCTGAGGCAAGAGAACTGCTTGAACCCGAGAGGTGGAGGTTGTAGTGAGCCGAAATCATGCCACTACACTCCAGTTTGAGTGACAGAGCAAAACCCTGTCTCAAAAAAACAAACAAACAAAAATGTGACTGGAGTAGAAAGATTCTGTAGGCGAGTCAGAGCCTACTCACAGAAACATTAGACCAAGATAATGAGTCTTGATTTTTTTTTCAAGGAATTTTTAAAGCAGTGAAAGTGATGAAGCATATATATATGTTCATTCTGGTCACCATGTGGAAAACAGATTGTGTAAGAGGGTAAGAATGAAAGTAGAGGTTATTCCCCTATCCAGGCAAAAGGTAACAATAACTCAAATAGGAGAGTAACCCTGGAGATGGGAGGAAGTGGCCAGATCTGGAATCTGTTTGAAAGGTAGGATCAACAGGACCTGCTGATAGATTGGATGTATAGTGTGAAAGAAAGAGGGGCATGGAGGATGACTGTTAGGCTTGAGGATCTGGTTTGCATTGGAAGTTTCCTTAGCACCCCAAAGCTAGAGGCAATATGGTACAGTGGTTCATATCCCTTGACAGAGACTCAGGGTCAAAGCATAAAGACTGAGACACTCTAGCAGTGACCTTGAGCTCCTCCCCTCCCCACAGTCCAAGGGCAGAACTGGCCCTATGCACTGAAGTTTAGCTGGCAGGGGAGGATTAAGTTTCTCAGGTGAGGAGAGAGGAAGGAAGCAGGTGGGTGGGAAGCAGAAGTGTTGAAGGTTATTTTTGCAGTAGCAGTGGCACAAGGGAATCAGGTACTCCCAGAGCAAAGCACAATGGAGTCCTGAGGAAATCAGGCCTGATAATTCCCTCAGAATCACAGCTTTTGCCTTTTTATGCTAGGCACCCAGTGGGCACTCCCTAAACACCATTAACCACAAAAATGATGTTGTTGACTGGGCAGCACTGCCACTCGTTTGACCAATTATTTATGATCATTCAGCTGATTTCCCACTCTTGTTAATAGTCTTCAATTTTACTGCAAACACAATTAGGACACACCAAACCCAGTGGTTTACCACCACAAAATTAGATCTCATCTACCACTGGATGCCTTTATGCACTAAATTTATGGCTAACAGACCCACTAACAAAGTTCCAGGCAGGGTTCCCCTGCCTGCAGATGTAGACAGTTGTAAGAAAAGTCTAGACTGGAGTCAGCCCTACCAGTGAAGGATGGAGTTGACATCCTCTTTCTCAGCAACTTTAGTCCACCTGCTTGCTTCTTCCTCACCATTGTATTGTAACCTTCATATATATATATATATACACACACACACACACACACGCACACACACACACATATTTATGATCAGCTTGCATTATAGCCTTTATATACACACACACACACACACACATATATATATATGTATGTATATAATATAGTTTGAATATATGTCCCTGCCACATCTCATGGTGAATTGGAGGTGTTGGAGGTGGGGCCTGGTAGGAGGTATTTGAGTCATGGGGGCAGGTCTTTCAAATACCTGGTAGGAGGCATTTGAGTCATGAGGTTAACTCAGTGGTGAGGTCTTCCCAATGGTGAGGCCATTCTCATGAGATCTGGTCATTTAAAGTGTGTGGCACCTCCCCCTCAACTCTCTCTCACTCATGCTTTTGCCGTGTGAAGTACCTGCTCCTACTTCGATATCCACCATGAGTAAAGGCTCCTGAGGCCTCCCAAGAAGCTGAGTAGATGCTGGCACCATGCTTGTATATTCTGCAGAACCGTGAGCCAATTAAACCTCTTTTCTTTATAAATTACCCACCCTCAGATATTTCATTATAGCAATGCAAGAATGGCCTAACGCCACACACACACACACACATACACATTTCTTTTCAAATCTCAATTCATTCAGAAGGGCAGTCTTCTTCCAATTTTTGCTCTCTCTCTTTCTCCCATCACCTTATGTTTCATATTCAAGTCAAATTGAGAAAAAAGGTTTGAAATTACATCCTTTTCCAAAGTCATACAATTGAACTTTTCCTCTTTAGGTCTATTTTTCACTTTCTGGATTTTCCCCTAGGGTGTAGTTCTTCAGTATAGTTATGGAATGCTTTTTCTTGATATCAAAATATTTTCCAACTTAGAGCCTACACATGTAACTATCCTTCTCCACCAACCCCAACAGATAGAAAACAAAACCATGGAAAGTGCAAATCCAAAGTGAATATTAAGGACAGGCTGGCTTCCCTTTGTATCACACTGTGCCCACTCACCTCCACCCCAAACTCCTTAACTCATGTATAACCTGGGAAAGCAATCTCCTGGGAATAATTCCAGAACACATTTAGAGCAAAAAAAGAATGGTGAATTCTCTAAATAATAATATCCAGAGCCAACTGGAAAAATATTTTGCATAACTCAAACACCCTTGATTAGTACAGCTGATCAGTATTTGACTTATATTTCTTTGAGACATTTAACCTACAGATTTTCTTTCCTACCTTAACGACCTGTCAAACACAATTTTGTAAAACCATCCCATGTGTGACAGATAATCCCAGGACTTTCTCCTAGATGTGATGCTCTAAGCCTTTTTTCTAGGGCTTCGCTAGGCTTCATTTAACTGTTTCTGGTTTTATTTTTAAGTCATCAATGAAGGTACACTTTATCTTATTAAAATGGATTTATTGTATATTTTGGAGTGAGTAAACAACTTGCTGATTCTCTAATCTTAGAGACTAAAGACTTGGTTATTTTAACAAATTGAGACTCTAGTCCTCACTCTCTTCTTACTTTCCTGATACCTAAGAAGTACCTCTTACTAACTCTACTAAACTCTCACAGTCTTTTAGACCCTAAGTCTCACTTTATTTATCAATTGCATGTCAAAATAACAGTAAACTGAAGGAAAAAACACACAACATCAAATCACACTTTCTGCAGACTGATTGTTGTGGTTTTAAAATGTCCCACAATTTTTATATTTTTTATATTCCTCCTTTGCATGTAGACTGGACTTAGTGACTTGGTTCTTCTGCAGATAAAATATGCAGAAGTACCTGCATGTGACTTTCAGGATCAGGTCATAAAATTCATTGCAGTCTCCCCTTTGCTCTCTCGTGGAACACTTCCTCTGGGGTGTGGGAGACCAGAAATGCCTCCCTAAAATTTGAAAGACTGTTGAGCTGAAGACTATTAGGAAGAAATAGATGCAGGAGAGCTATCTACCCTCCCTCTGTTTGTCTGAAAGCAGGACATACATTTACATAGATTTCCCTGCTCTCTACCAGGGAGAACAAAGGTTAACCACTGACATCAGCTTTAGACACCCAAAAGCTAGATGATACTAGATAGCCAGATGATACCAGAGGAAGACAACAGCCAGATAATACCAGATAGCCAGATGATACCAGAGGAAGAGAACAGCCAGGTGATACCAGAGGAGTTAATATTAACAAGCATTATTAACAAAATTTTATCTGCCATTTGATTGCCTTCCTCCCAAGTTGCTGCCTGTTAAGACTCAGAGTCCTCTGCCTTGTTACTTCTCTACAAATGTACTGTTTTGTTGATGATGCTATAGAAGCTGGAATTCAAAGCCACCTCTTTGAGAACTATTCATTCCTGGATGTCTCCCATGCATTTGTGAAATATATACATTAAGAAACTTTTCTTTGTTTTTTTCTTGTTAATCTGTCTTTTGTAACAGAGGTCCATTCCAGTTATGAACCTATGGGTATTATTATTTTCCCCCACAAAAGAACAAGCTATCATGTTATGAAGACACTCAAGCAGCCCATTGGAGAGGTCCACATGATGAGGAACTGAGGCCTTCTGCCAAAAACCATGTAAACAAACCATCTTGGAAGTGGATCTTCCAGCCCCAGTCAAGATTTTAAATGACTGCAACCCTGGCCAATGTCTTGATCACAATATCATGAGGGACCATAAACCAGAGCCACCCAGTTAAGCTTCTCCATAATCTTGCATCCACAGAAACTGAGATAACAAATGTTTGTTGTTTTAAGCTGGTAAATTTTGGGATAATTTATTATGTGGTCAGGAGTTCAAGACCAGCCTGGCCAACATGGTGAAACTCTGTCTCTAATAAAACTACAAAAATTAGACGGGCGTGGTGTTACATGCCTGTAGTCCCAGCTGCTCAAGAGGCTGAGGCAGGAGAATTGCGGGAACCCGGGAGGCACAGGCTGCAGTGCGCCGAGATCGCGCCACTGCACTCCAGCCTAGGCAACAGAATGAGACTCTGTCTCAAAAAAAAAAATTATTACGCAGCAATAGATAACTAATACAGTGATTGCTTCACAGATGTATTAACCTTTTCTCTATTTGGTAACTGTATCTTACACTTATATTTTTTGTAAGCCCCTGTAATCAGGGCAGTTGGTTATTACACAGAAAACATGTGCAACACTTAATTGACTCAAAAGGTAGTCTGTGTATTTTTTAAGTAAAAAAAAGTTTCTGCCAGGTACAGTGGCTGACACCTATAATCCCAATACTTTTGGAGGCTGATGTGGGAGGATCACTTGAGCCCAGGAGTTCAAAATCAGCCTGGGCAACATAGGGAGACCCCATCTCTATAAAAATTTTAAAAATCAGTGGCGGGTGGTGGTGCATGCCTGTTGTCCCAGCTACTCCGGAGGCTGAGGTAGAAGGACTGCTTGAGATCAGGAGGTCAAGGCTGCAGTAAGCTATGATCACACCACTGCACTCCAGCATGGGCAACAGAGTGAAACCCTGTCTCAAAAAAAAGAACAAGTTTTTTAAAGTGTCATGTTTCTGATGGAAAATTGTTATAATAATATCATTTATTGAATACTCTTGTATGTGGGACAATGATTATATTACATTCATATATAACATAAATTATATTATGTTTGTATATTACATAATCTATAATCATATTAAATTGTAAAATCTCATTTCAACCTTATCACAACTTTTGCAGTTGATATTATTATCACAATTTTATGGAGTAGAAAAGTAAGTCACAGAGAAGATGAGTAACTCATTAATAAGTGGCAAAGTTAGAACTCAAAACCACGTCTTAGAAGACTATTTTCTGCTCTTTCTGTGACCACAAAAGATTCATTTTTAAAAAACTTTCCACCGGAAAATCATCCAATAAACATGTGTGACTTTGACTTAAATTGTGTCTTATCAGACAAAGTATCTCACAATCTTCCCATAGTAATCAAGATCCTAAATTATTATATTATTGTCTTCATCCATTTAGATTGTTTTTGCATCCTTTTTAACACATTAGAACATATCAAATTGATGTGGAAACTCTTAACTCAGCTGCACCCCAAATTTTCCTCCTGTGGTGAAATTCTTTTACATTGTAATGAGTTTACTGGTACCACTGCTTACCAATCTCATTCTCTATTACTCTCACATAGGCTATAAAAATCTTAGCAAGTTGTTGGGAAAAATTAATTCAAACATCTCTATCATTAAAGTTAAGACAATGTTTCTATAAAAATCTGTCTCAATTTTTGAAATAAGCTATATGGAAACACACTTAATCTCAGTCTCAATAGATGTTTTTTTCACCATCAAAATGATCTTTCAGATAATTTAGGTCAAACTCATGCAATACAAGTGAGATAATTGTTAAAAAATTTTTTCTCAAACTGTTATAATTTTTTCATATCAAAAGTAACAACTAACAATGGTTTCCTGCATTCACAGGTGAATGATTTTCTCCAATTTCTAAAATAAATGACCTCAAATGAATTATTTCCAGAGCACTATATTATATTGTGTTTGTTTCTCTAACTACACAATGTTCTTAATTCAAAGACTAAAAGGATCTTAAAATTTCTTAACAATAGGTCTCATTGTCTTAAATTTTCATTGGTATGATTTTTCATAGAAGCAGATTTTTTTCCTTTCTCATTTTCCATTTGACACTCCAGACTGTTCAATTTGTTGAAAGACAGAAGGCCTAAGAAACACATTAATCTGTTTTTCCAAAACTGTGGAGCTCCTACAGGCTTCTTTTAACATTTGCATAATAAAAAGTACAACTGTAGTATTTCTGAGAAATAAAAATATTTCCCAATTTAGCTATTAGGAAATCTTTTTCTATACTTTTCATTACAAAAGAACTTAGTAACTGGGAGATCAAGCAAAGAAAATCCAATTATTACATAGTTTTCTCTACCCTTTTACTTACAATTGGTCTTTGAAGGACACTTTTTATCCTACATCTTGCTATGGAATTGTTTGTATAAATGCCTTATTTTCTTCCCCAGTAGATTATAACCAGTGATAAGCAGATGTGTTTCATCAAATGTTTGACTCTTCTTTAGGTCCTAACTGAATCTCTTAATGTAAATATCTCTCAAATTAAAAAGGCCTTTTATGGGACTTTTAGCCCCCTAAGACTTCAGACACAGTGTTAACAAAAAAAAAAATGGCTTTGGTCTCCACATGAAAACTGAAATTTGTCCCTTATCCATTCTCCAAAGGCATCTATGATAGATCATATTCATTGGTTCCAATTCTTCTCTCTCCTAGGCTAGAATACAAGCAATTTTATGATTCTCTCTCAGTATAAGTGAAACACATTTTCTCTGCCTTGTTGATATAAAACTTGTTTTCTGACATGCTTGCTTTGGCCAATGAAATGTTAATGGAGGCCTTAAATGTACTTGCACAGTTTGATTTGCCTCTAACATTCCTGCTGTTCACATGAGATGAGCATGCTGCAGATAGCTGTTAGTTCAAATGGGAATGAGAGAAATGTGGAATAAATTTGGATCCAACATGTAGGGTTGATTCAAGTTCAGCTGGTACTAGCCAAGCACAACAGAACCTTAGCCAAATGTAGATTTATGAGCAAAACAAAATTAAATGCTTGTTATTGTAAGACATTGATGTTTGGGGGTAGTTCGTTACACAGCATTATTGCAGTAATGGCTGTCTATTAAAGTGCCCATGTCCCTTACCCCATTAGTTCTCCTATCTTTGTTGAATAACTTAAATGAGTTAAGACATTTCGGGCACTTGGTAAGTGTTGGTTGTTGTTATTCTGCTGTCTTATGAATATAGGCTATAAATTGAGAGATACAAGACCCCAAATGTCCAAAACCATGCTGCCCCCTACTCTGTCATAGTAGTGCCATCCACTCATACTTACACTATGGTACAGTACATGGCACAGTTGATTTCAGAGACAAATGAATTTCATTACAGGAAAATTGGTTTCTAGTACATAAAAAAATCTGAGTCCAACCTCAACTGCTGAGAAGTAGATTTCTTGAAATCACAGGCAAGCACATTCTGTAGGGGAAACAGGAAGGTTAAAAGGTAGACCGTTAATATGACTCTATTTAATTATTAATCTGGCTTCAAAAGTCTATCTACAAAAACCAAAGAGTTAATTTCTGTCCTAGCTGTGCACAAAGGCTTATCTCTATAGCTATCTCAGCATTACTTTGGAAGTAAAAATGTTGGAAACAACATAAATGCACAGTAGGAAATCAAGTAAATTTTGATGCAGATATACAATGGGATAGTATGGAGCCATATTACTTTCCTGTTATAGAAAAATATTAAATAATAGGGAAAGATGTCCACTATATGTTGCTTAAATGGAAAAAATAGAGTTACAAAATGATATTTGCAGTTTGATCCCATCTTTTTTAAAGAAAATATGTATTTAACAATGTGAAAAGATATTCAACCACACTTATTTAATGGAAATGCAAATTGAAACCACATCAAGAACCATTTTCATGTATTAGATTGTGACAGACCCAGAGTTTCATAACATCGTTGGGTGAGATGCTGAGGAAAAAGACATGCTCATCCATTGCTCATGAGAAATGTAAATTCGTATAACTTGTATGGAGAATGATAGGGCAATAGCTATCAAAATTGCATACGCGTATTTTTGAATCAGCAATTCTAAATTCAAATTCTAGAATTTCAAATTTCGAATTCTACAAATATATCCCAAAATATTTGCACTTATTATGTGCAAAATACAAGGTGTTCTAGGTTGCACTGCATCCCCTCAAAATTATATGTTGAAATCCTAAGCTATGGTACCTCAGAATGTGAACTTATTTGGAGATAACATCTTTACAGAGGTAGTCAAGGTAAAATGAGGTCATTAGGGTGGACCCTAATCCATTGTGACTGGTATCCTTGTAAATACAGGAAATTTGGACACAGAAACATAGTCAGAGAAAGAAGACGATGTGAGAAGACAGAGCAGAAAGATGGTCATCTAGAAGCCAATGAGAGAGGCCTGGAGCTAGATCCTTCTAGTTCTGAGACTTCTAGCCTCAGAACTATGATACAATAAATGTCTGTGGTTACAGCCACCTAGACTAAGGAATTTCATTGGGACAGCCCTATCCAACTAATACACAATTCTCTCATCACAGAATTGTGAAAAGAAAAGATTGGAAACAACCTAAATAACCATTAATGGGGAACTGGTTAAGTAAATTAAAGGTATAATGAATTTATATATGTATGTGTTTGTGTGTGTGTGTGTGTGTGTGTGTGTGTACATATATATTCATTTATTGAATACCATACATCATTTTAAAAAGAAAATGCTTTTTGAATTAATATAGAAATAGCTCCAAGATGGATAGTTAAATGAAAAAACAAGACACAGAACAATATGAAGGCCCAGTTGGTGGCTCACTCCTGTAATCCTAGCACTTTGGAGGCTGAAGCGGGTAGATCACTTGAGGTCAGGAGTTCAAGATCACCCTCGCTAGCATGGTGAAATTAGCCAGGCATGGTGGTGGGTGCCTGTAGTCCCAGGTACTCAGGAGGCTGAGGCAAGGGAATAGCTAGAACCCGGGAGCCGGAGCCTGCAGTGAGCTGAGATCGTGCCACTGCACTCTAGAAAGAACAATTTGAATATTATGCCAACATTTAGGTGGCAGAGGAAGAAAAATATACACACATAATTATTTGAATCTACTTAGAATATCTCTGCAAGATCACAGAACATTGAAATCTCTGAAGAGAACTGGACAGCTAAGGTTCTGAAGAAGGAAGATTTTTCACTTTATAACCTTTTTACTTTTTGAATTTTGAACCATAAGACTGCATTACTTATTCAAGAATAATTTGTGTTTATGTGGATATGTATATACATATAGTAGAGAAATTAACTAAAAGAATATAAACATATAATCTTAGGGCAGTAAGATAGAGGTTATTTTTTATTCTTATCTCCTTTTTGCTTAAAGTATTACCTCTGCAATTAGAAAAACCACTACACTTTTAAACATATTATATACCATTTAAGGATAGGAACATAGAGGCAATAAAGAGAATTGTCTTGTTTTGCTTTGCTTTTTAATCAACATGGTAGGAAGTACATTAATAGAAGGACCTTAGAGAGAAGCTTCCAGCTGAGAACCAGAAAATAAAAGCAATATTAAGTAATTTTCATGGTTATCTTAACTTCCACATACTAAGTCAAGAAGAATTACTTTATTTCAACAGATGCGAATGCAACAGCCTATTTTAATTCACTAGCTTGAAATATAAAACTCATCATTCATTGGGATGCCATTAAAATAAAGCCTACATGTGTCTACTCTGAGATTCAGTCTTCAGTAATAGTCCACCACTATAATTGTGAAGAATCAGGTGCCTTACCTTCATATGTAGACTATCATTAACTACATTATATCTGAAAGACTGTCTCTCAGAGGAGATAAATAAAATTGAGGACAAGTATTTGAGCCCTTATCAGTTTATTAATGAACTAGCAAACTCCTGTGTATAATGGATAACACCATAGGGCTAACTGAGCTAAAGACAGCAATGATACTATTGTATGTGGAGCAAAACCACTCCCATAGGCATGCTCGAAGATAACATGAAAAAGAGAGCCCTGAATAATGTGAATTTTAATGTTGACTTTGAAAAGATTTCATTTTTCTATAGGATAATCTGGGTCAGCAATAGACCTGTACAGATTTGCTAGTATTAAAGGTCTATGGAAAGAAATTGCTTATAAAAAAGGCTGCACAATTTGTATTTTCTTGATTTTACAAAGCAGACAACATATCATTCATAGCCCCATATTTATCTTTAATATGTGGCTATTCCAGAATGAGGTAGTTCAAATGGGTTTTTCATTTGCTGGTTTAAAAATAAAATCTTGTCAAACTCATTAGAGAATTTAAAAGCATTGGGTAAGAATGGTTTTGCATTACAGGTAGATTTAACATCTCAATTTTTTGAGTCAGATCCAAACCCTTCTCAGTTTTTATTCTTCTCCCCATATAGCAGTTGGGATAAAATTCTTGGCTCTGCTTCAAAAGAGAAATAATACATTGGTATTTTATGATGGGCCTTCAAGAGGAACACTGAAGTAAAATCATGTCTCCATAATTTTCATCATTATGAAAAATATTAAAGTATCTCAATGGTGGATACTCCCAGAAATTGCCTTGGGCAACAGGAGGAAGGTATTCCCAAGTACCCACTGCTGACCCCTTTGACAATTTTAAAATATGAGTGCAATTCCTTTAACACTTCTCCCATGAGAAGTGGGGCCTATGTCCCCTCCCTTGAATCTGGACTGGTCTTAGTGACCAGTAACCAAGAAAATGCAGTGGAAGTGATGCTGCATAATTCTAAGGCTAAGTGAGAAAAGTCCATGCAGCTTCTTTGTTTTCTTGGCATGCTCGCATAGGGGGATGGCCAAGCGCCATATAACACATCTGATTACCCTGAGACCAACACGCTGGAAATGCCGTGGTAGTCACATCCGCTGCAACCATGTGGGTAAGCCATCCTCATATAAGGATCCCCTGCCTAGTCAAGCTTCCAAATGACTGCAGCCCTGGATGACACCTGACCCCATGAGTGATCCCAAATGAGAGCAGGTTAGCTAAGCCCTTTCCTAATTCCTGACCGTCTAAATGGTGAGCAAAATAAAATGTTTATTTTAAGCTACTCAATTTGGGTAATTTTTACATAGCAGCAATCAATAATAATAATCATAAAAGAGATAGATAATGTTTTAGCCTTTTAATGTCTCTAAAATCTAAGATCACAACCAACCTTTATTCCTTAAAAAGTAGCATCTTTCCAACCTACTCTGATACTTCCAGGTTCTCAATATTACGTTGATAGTCAAATCTAGATTTTAGACTAAGCTAATAAAAATTGGCCTGAGACGCCAATAACTTCAAGAACAATTGTTGGTCTCATTTACCATCACATACAATGGATCATTCATGAAAGCTGAACAAATGCTACCATAGCAGAAAATCGGCACAGAGGAAGCCGTTGTTCAGGACATGCTGAAGGGTCTGAGACCATTGTCTACATAGAAACACTTTCCTTGAGCACAAACATTACACTCATGTCTTTTCTTATCCCTAAACATTTTTCTTTCTCTGTATTATTCAAGCGCAAGATAAAGTTTTGTTTTTTTATATTGTCACCAAAGCACAGCCATTTCTAAGGCTAGTAACACAGGACACATCTAAAGATGGCAGAGTTCATGATAAAACTTAGTGAATGGTCCACAATTCATCCACATAACTGATTGTTGCAGGACAGTTAAAGCCCCAAACCTAAATTTATTCTACATAAAAATGGGATGATTCAATAGATTCACTGAGCTTCAGTTCTCACTTGATTTGCCAATGAAGCCAAGAACTTCCTGAGATGGGTGAGCGTTTTCAAATGATAAATGACAGAGCACCTTGACCACATCCATTTAGATAACCTCCATGTGGCGTTAGGATGAACTCAAGCAAAACAGACTGACTGAATTTTGCAGTTCTGGGTCCAGTTCACTCATGACACTTGTCTCATCATAATGACAAATTCTCAAGCAGATAAGCAGGGGAGCCATACCTGTACCTCATCTAAGGAGTGATTTTAAAACTCTTTCCTGAGTTGTAATATTCTATATGAATAATGTGATGTTCTGCTGCAAAGAAAATTCAAATTTCTTCCTTACAGACATTTTAATGATTTTCAATCACCTAACCTCGTTCTAGATCACTTTCTCTATATATCAGGTGAAATTCAAGTTATTGCTTATAAGCAATTATTCAAAATTATTCAAAAGAAGAAATTTAATCAAAATTATAAATTAGTTTTAGTAATTGGAGGCATTTAAATAAAGAGCCCTGTATGATATCAACTGCATGCCCCATACCCTCCAAATGGTTGATATAAGATGGGCATTCACTGTGTTTTTTTGACCAGCATCCACTCCCTCTTATTCTGGAAACTGAACCCTTATTTTCCTTGAGGAAACTTACCTTTTCCTCACCCTCGAGCCCTACATTTTGTGAGGGCTTTAGGCAAGGAAGATATAAGATCATTTTTGTATTTTTATAAAGTAAGTTGATCTACATTGTGGAGAATGAGCTTTAGGGGCCCCAAGATGGAATCAGGAATATCAGTTGAGGAGATTGTTGTAGAAATCCCAGCATGTGACAATTATGTCCTGAACCAAAGTTGTAGTAATGAAGATGAGGAGAAGAAATAGGACGAAGGTTAAAGTTATTGCAGATTGACTGGAGAGATAAGTAAAGGGAAGGACAAGGGAGACATAGGTTGCTTATTTGCAAATCTTGTGTTCTGTCGCAAACATCTAGGGGATAGAACCCATTTCTGGTTCATTCTAGTATCTCTCACTTAAGGATGCCTTGGTTGAATCCAACCTAGTGTGATGGTTAAGAGCTCAGATTCCAAAGCCAAACAGCCTGAGTTTGAGTCCTGGCTCTGACACTTACTAGCTGTATGACTTAAGCAATTTATCTGGTTCATTTGTGCCTCAGTTTCCTAATTGGCAAGATGAAGGAAATGATTAGACCTACTTCATTGGGTTGTTGTGAACATTAAATGAGCTATTCCATGCATAATACCCAGAATAGTTCTGGAGAATAGCAAGAGCTATATAAGTGGTTGATGGTATAGTCTCAATAAATATTATAACATTCAACTAACACTCCCCCAGAAAACATATATTCCAGGGGAAAATAAAAGGATCTTTTGACATAACTTATCTGGGTTATTTGCTTCTTGGTGCTGAAATGGAGAAAAGTTACAAGCTACTTTCTGTTAAAAAATATTACAACAATATTTTAAAAAGAACCCCCCCACCCCGCAAAAAAACCCTGACAGAATAAAAAATAACTGTTAACAGGCCAGAATCAAATTGGGAAAAGCAGGATGCCAGAAGGCAAAATCTGAAGCACATGCTATTTAATATCCTTATTAATGGTCTGAAGCACAAAATAAATTGTACATTATTCTTATTTGCAAAAAATCATAAACAGTGAAAAATAGATCAACAGTACAGAATAATCCAGAGACCTTGGAGAGGCACACCAGTTTAAATGTGATGAGTTCAATTTACAAGAACATAAAACAATACACTTTGGGAAAAATACTACGAGGCACAGACATAAACTGAGAATTCTTCTAAAAAGCAAAAAGGCTTAAGAGGATTTGGGGTGATAGTCTACAACAAATTCATGAGAGCTTCCAATGTGCTGCTAGTAGAAAAAGAAGGCAGGGAGGTAAATATTCTAGAAGAGGAGCAATACGAAATTACTGGTACTGAGAGAGCTGAATACTACATGTAGTAATGGCAGTTATTCCAAGTCACCTTATGATTTTCCCATTTCTGCTTTAGAGAAGTACCTAATGAAAGCAGTGTGGCCATTCTTCAAAGAGGTAAAAACAGAAATACCATTCGAACCAGCAATCCCATTACTGGGTATATAACCAAAGGAATATAAGCCATTCTACCATAAAGACATATGCACATGTTATGTTAATTGCAGCACTATTCACTATAGTAAAGATATGGAATAAACCTAAATGCCCATCAATGGTAGACTGGATAAAGAAAATGTGGTACACATATACCATGGAATACTATGCAGCCATAAAAAGAATGAGATCGTGTCCTTTGCAGGAACATGGATGGAGCCAGAGGCCATCATCCTTAGCAAACTAACGCAGGAACAGAAAACCAAATACCACATGTTCTCACTTACAAGTGGGAGCTAAATGATGAGGCCGCATGGACACAAAAAGGGGAACAACAGACACGGAGGTCTACTTGAGAGTGGAGAGTGGGTGGAGGGAGAGGATCAGAAAAAATAACTATCGGGTACTAAGTTTAGTACTCAGGTGACAAAATAATCTGTATAACAAACCCTCATGACACTGGTTTACCTATATAACAAACCTGCACATGTACCTCTGATCCTAAAATAAAAGTTAAAAAAAGAAATAAAAGTACCTAGCAATATTTCCCTCTCTATGAAAATGTACATCTTCATCTCTATACTTCTGAAATAGCAAGGAAACATAAAAAATAAGCCTGGGAAAACATAAACTGGGTTTTTTTTTTGTTTTTTGTTTTTTGTTTTTTCACAGCAGAAATAGGCTCCCAAGTGAGGAATTCCTTTAAGGAATTTGGATGAACAATAACACATTGTTGGAAGCTAGTTAGCTTCCCAAAAGATGAGTTATTATAGACATCAGGTTTTGCCATAGTTATCTGTAAAGGAACATCAAGGATAAACACATTGCATTCATTAAATTACTCATTAAGAAAAAATTTATTGAGCAAAATGTAAATAATAAAGGCAGGTGGTGTGTAATGTCTAGAGACACAAAAATGAGTGAGATATAATTCTCCTGCATGAAACAGGCCCTTCAGTAGATCATTATAACCTGGTATGGAAAATACAGCGATGGACAAACACACAGCAGGAACCCAGAAAGTGTAAGCTCTAACCCCAAGCGGCGGGGAGAGCAGTGCAGAGCAGAGATGGGAGATGCTCTAAGCAGTTTTAGAGGCTGGAGGTTCAGGCTGAGAAAGGTGAGAAGTGACACCAAAATTTAAAAAAAAAAAAAAATCACTGGGTCCTTAAAGAGTCACTGACAAGTGTTAAGTCAGGAAGGGTGAGAGTCAATTTGAGGTTTTATAAGGATCACTCTGGCAGCCAGTTTGGAGGCTGAATTTGAAAGAACAAGTTTGGAAAGAAATGGCACCTAAGAGTCCAGGTGAGCAATGCTGTAAGTGACATCTGGCTTTTTTGCCTGGGCTGCATCCACAGGCGGCCTCATTTCTACGGAAAGAGCACTCTGCATTGGCCTTGGGGAAGACCCTTTCTGCAGGGTCTACACTGCACTGGCTGCATCCTTGGTTTAGAAAGAAATAGGCAGGAGACCCAAGCTAGGCTAATTATAATCGTATCATCCTTTCTCTCTCCCTGGAACTTAAATCATGTGCCCAAAAACTAACAGACGGAAAGCAATGAAGCTACTTTACCACTATGGCAGTGTCCTTAGGAGACCTCACTATTGTCTGTCACCAACATTCCCTGAACCCCCTTCTTGTCCTTCTATAACCCTTCTTGCCCTTCCTGAGGCCTCAGCTTTTTCCTTGGATTCTGAGACCCTCTCCTGCCCCCTCACTTTTTTTTTTTTTTTGCTTAAGTTAGCCAAATCCCATTCTGTTACTTGCAACTACAGAAGTCAAACTAATAAAGGACTGAGTAATCCTTAGGAGATTTAATAAGTTTCTATACACAAAATAACTACATACTTATTAAAAATATATAAAATAAAATTGTTTCTATATGTTGAACTATTTTTAGGTAAGTATGGCTAGGAATACAATCATATTCACACATACAAGTTTTTCTAAGGCAGTATGTACCAAATTACAAATATTTAAAAGTCCTGAAACTGGCAAAAAAAAAAAAAAAAAAAAAAAGAGCAAGCATTTATAACTACAGTTGACCCTTGAACAACATGGGGGTTAGGAGCGCAGACTCCTGCACAGTCAAACATCCACTTATAACTTTTGATTCCTCCAAAACTTAACTACTAATGTCCTACTGTTGACCAGAAGCCTTACCAGTAACATAAAGCATGAATACACATTATATATGTTATATAATGTATTCTTACAATAAAATAAACTAGAAAAAAGAAAATGTTATTAAGAAAATCTTACAGAAGAGAAAACCTACTTACTATTCATTAAGTCAAAGTGGATCATCATAAAGGTCTTCATCTCATTGTCTTCACATTGAGGCTGGAGAGGAGGATGGAGGGGAGGGGCTGGTCTTGCTATCTCAGGGGTAACAGAGGTAGAAGAAAATTCATGTATAAGTGGACCCGTGCAGTTCAAACCCGTGTTGTCTGAGGGTCAACTGTACTTCAAATCAATCTTTTTTAAGTTTAACTGTAAAATTTATGTTTTTAAGACACAAGTAATTTTACTTTCCAAAATAATGGGTTTCCCCAGTTAGTATTAGAAGATGTTTAAAGCTCTACTCCAAATCCCTTAAAAACTTATTGAAGAGGCACTAAAATAAAGTCATGACATCAAGAGAACTATTGAACAGTAGGCTCCCCAGGCATTTCCCCTCAGGGAAAATGGGTAGAGTACTTAAAATAATTTTTTCCATTAGGTATAGCAATGAATCAATTTAAAATTATTGAGTGGCCGACATTGTAACACAGAGGAATAATGTTCTGGAAGTCTCATTTAAATTACTGACATCAGATATTTGAAAATGAATGACTATGGAATCTGCCCATAGGTAAGACACCATGTCTGCAATTATTCTTTCAATTTCAACTAGGGAGATATGCTTTTAAAAGCTTAAAATGAAAGGGGTTTTTTTTTAATTACATTTCCCATTGTATGTATAATTGTACAATCATGGACACAGACAGGGCCCTTCTCTTTCTCTAATAATTGGAGATTTTACAGTGAAGGCCACCCTGACCCAGGAGTTAAATACCAGCTAGATACAGAAGGTCAGGTCACACTCCTGCTCAACAATCTTTAAGGGTTTTCCATTTCTGTCAGGACAGGTACACACTGATATGTAGCTTTCAAGGACATCTGTCATCCTTTCCAATTTCAACCTGAGGCACTGACAAAAATATGCTCAATTTCTTGCCCTTAGATCCCTTCCTGATGTATTCTTTCCCCACTGCCACCATTTCTGTCTGTCTGTCCAAATCCAGCCAGTGCTTAAAGATCACCTCCACTTTTATCTCCTCTGTGAAGATCACTGCAGCCACGCAGACCACTCTGGTTTATTCCTCTTCCAATTTCCTTCTAAACTTACATCCTTACCAGTCACTGGCAATCATCAAACATCATCTAGTATCATGACTTTTCTTGTTATCATGTTCATTACTATTTCCATGGCTAGGACATTCATTCATCCATCAAATATTCCCTGAATTCCTGCTAAATGCAGACATGGTCCTCCGAACAGAGAATCCAACTACAAGCAAAGTAGACATAGATATAGTCTAGTTGAGAGACTGTTTTTTTAATTATTATTCAAATAATCATTCAGTTGAGAATGAAATTGTTGGTGTCCAGTGAGATAACTCCCGCTTTAAGTAATAGAAAAGCTTCACCTGAAATTGGCAAAAACAATATGAACATTTGCCACCTCTCGAGGAAAATTTGGTGGTAAGGTGACTCCACCTGCTTGCTGGTGTCTCAGAGCTGCCCTCCTCTTTCTGTGGGCTCCATCTTCAGGCTGGCATCAGCATGACTGCAGCTGTTCCAAGCAGCTCATCCTGGTCAGCAGACGCAGAAATGGACTGTTGCCTTCTGAATCCTCTTCTTTTTCCGAGTCTCGCACTGTCGCCCAGGCTGGAGTGCAGTGGCGCGATCTCGGCTCACTGCAAGCTCCGCCTCCCGGGTTCACGCCATTCTCCCGCCTCAGCCTACCGAGTAGCTGGGACTACAGGCGCGCGCCAGCACGTCCGGCTAATTTTTTTTTTTTTTTTTTTTTTTTTTTAGTAGAGACGGGGTTTCACCGTGTTAGCCAGGATAGTCTCGATCTCCTAACCTCGTGATCCCCCCGCCTCGGCCTCCCACAGTGCTGGGATTACAGGCGTGAGCCACCGCGCCCGGCCTAAATCCTCTTCTTAACAGCAAGAAATAGCATCTCTAAAGTCACCTAGCACGTATTCCCTTTTGTTTCATTGGCCCAAAGTGGGTTATGTGCCCACCTCTTAACCAATCATTGTCAATGGGATTTACAAGGAGATGGAAATAAGGTGATCCGCCCCTGAGTCGTGCAGGAAGGAGCAGATACTGGAGCAAAATTCAGATTTGGTTATTACAGGAAAAGGTGGGGATGTATGATGAGCAGGCAACTAGCTGTGCCTGATGCAACTACCTAACAACCAAGTAGGGGCAATAAGGGGAAGAAATGTGATCTCATGAGAGTAAGTACAAAGGGACTTACATAACAAAGGACACAGACTGGTGTACAATGGAGAGAAGTGGTCACCTATGCCAGATATTTAGGAGGTTAAGCTTCCAGGCCTTAACAGTGAAGTGGATAGCACGGTGAGAAGGATGGCAGCATCGGAAATGACTTCCATTTTTCTGGCTTGCATCTGCCTTGAATCAGTCAACTAATTGTTAGGACGATTTTCTGAGCTAGGAAACTTTGGAAAGAGACTAAGAGGGGAAGGAAATTAAATCACAATCCCAGTTTTGTGCATGCACATGTGTGTGTGTGTGTGTGTGTGTGTGTGTGTGTGTGTGTGTGTGTGTGTTTAATCCTTTGAGACATTCAAGAAGCAATGTCAATGAGGCAGTTGGGTGTATAGTTCTGGAGCTAGAGGAGCTATCTGGGCTGAAAGTGCAAATTTGTGAAACATCTGTTTATTGAAGCCATGGGAATGGATGAGATTTTCCAGATGGAGAAAGTAAAGACTCAGAAAAGGAGATGGCTCTGGACTGAATCTCGAGAAACTCCAATATTTAATGACAAGAGAAAAAAAAATAGCTGAAAAGAGGGTGGAGACAGAGTTGCCAGAAGATAGTAGATTGCAAACTAACTGGGGCAAGAACTTTTGTATCCTCCATCTGCCCCTCCAACAATAGCTAGCACATGCCGTACTCATTGCAAGCACTCCTATCATATTTCTTAATTGGCTACAATTACTCCTTTCATTTAAACTCCTTTAACTAATAATCATCATAATTCATACCCTTAAAAATACCATTATTACCAAATTATAATATCTTTAATATACAATGTAGCACTTCATTTGACCCATATGGATTACAGCCATGAGAACTGCACTTATTCACATACTTGTGTTTATTTCCCCAGCCACACAGTAAACTCATCATTGGCAATGACCAGCTCTTATATTCTTTTTGTTCTCAAGGTCATAGCACAGTATTTTACCCACAGTAGCCCTTTAGCAGATGCTTCTCGAAGGTACTTAAATTTATTCTGACATTTCCCGTATATTTATAATGTCCTTTATTCTAGGCAATAGAATAGACTTACTGTTCTTGTATTGAGTTTACAGCCAGGCCTACCTTATGTTGCAATAAAAAGGCCTAAGATGAGGAACCAACTAGTCTATTTCTAATCCAAACCCATCACATTTCCAAGGTCAAAATTATCAAAAGGCATTTTTTCCTTAACTGTGCCTTTGCCATTTAATCTGCAGCTCATTATTTTTCTAATAGAATGGTTAATAATTTACCAAGTACAAAAATGAAGATTGTGCCTTCGAAGAAACATGCCCCCCTCCCTTTTTTAACCAGATAATTGCTAGTAACATTAGACTGCTGTCAATCAAGCAACACCATTCTAATTTTATGCTCTAAAATGCATTAGGAGTCATTTATTCTCTGTCCCTTTAATAGCCAACATTTCAAATTAATTTTAGAAACTCAATAGATAATGACTGTAGGCTGTCCCATTTTTAAGAAGCTAGGTCTTAAACTCAACCTGTGGTCATCAGTGGACATCTGTCCACCTTGGGATCGCCAGTAGAGATGTGTCAAACCCATTGTCTTCTGTGCCTCTAGAATCATTTTAAGTAAAGGAGCAAATAAATGCCTGTCTGTATAGGTAACATAAAAATGTCACTGCATGCATTTTAAGGAAGAAATCCATCTTCAGGAAAACAAAAGCATGGCATGGTCAATAATGAAGAAGAGAGTTGGTGAACACCGATATTTAAGTCTTACCATGAAAACAGCCAAACCAGAAATTTCAGAATACTTCTCTCCAAGACTATCGGAATTTCACAGTGCATCAATGACGTTTTCACTAGGAAAACACCCAGCTCACACTTTTACCATTTGTGAGGACCCAAAACGAAAGAGCTGGGTATGTTATAAGGTGCTTTGGTGCCAACCTGTATAATTTACCTGCTTTGTATCCTAAAGCTTTGTGTCTAACAGGTCATCAGTTAAGCTATCAATTAGTCAGTAAAACCCATATTGAGAACCTTCTGTAAGTGCATGTGGAGAGGAAGCAAGGCTGTACCAGCGAGCTTTCCAATCTGGCACCTTTCATTAAATTCTAAAGTCACTTGTCTTTGTCTCTGTATTAAAAGAAATAATTTCATGTCCAGTCCCACCTTTAAAAAGTGACAGAAATCAACCATTCAATATTCATTAGTTCTTCTTGGCAACCCCATTTAGCTAATGGAAAATCAGGTACATTCATGTGCAATTATTAGATATTGAAAAATTATAAAATGTCCAACTTCTCTTTTTACAGCACACACACTCCCAAGTTGTACTCTACAGTTATGAAATAAACACATGCAGCTGCAACATCTCAATAGACCTTCAGATAATTGGCAAGTTTTCAGTTTGCTGCATCTACTTGTAGCATGAAAAGCAGCCAGGGATTAGAACTTCTTCATCAATTTAACTCTGCTGTACTTTTTCCTGCAAAGCTATATGCCTAGTTCTCACAATTGTACTCGAACTAGGTGAAAGCTTAGGAGGGTGGGCAGAGGTGGGGAACTCTGTATCACTTCTACACTCTGATGGTTAATTTCAGGTGTCAACTTGATGGGTTAGGGAATACCCTGATAGCTGATAAAGCATTATTTTAGGCCATGTCTGTGACGGTGTTTCCAGAAGAGACTGGCATTTAAATCAGTGGACTGAATAAATAAGAACCACTTTCATCCAATGTGGGTGGGCACTATCCAGTGTTGAGGGGCTTGTATAGAACAAAAAAGCAAAGGAAAGGTGAACTGGAGTGCACTCCCTCTCTCTCTCTCACTAAGACACCCTTCTTCTCTTGCCCTTGTACCTCAGAACTCCAGATTCTTGGGTCTTTGGAGTCTGGGACTGACATCAGCGGCCCCCCAGATTCTCAGGCCTTTCAGCCTTGGACTCAGAATTACACCATCTGCTGAGCCACACTACTGGCTTCCCTGGCTTTCCAGTGTGCAGACAGCATATCGTGGGACTTCTCAGTCTTCATAATCATGTGAGCCAATTCCCCTAATAAATGCCCTCTCATTTATCTATCTACCAACCTACCTACCTTTATCCTATTAGTTCTGTTTCTCTGGAGAGTTCTAACTAATGCACACATTTTCTTGACATAGCCACTAAAAGGCCAGTGACTGGGAGAGAGGTCCACATTGGTGGTTGATGTCATTCACTCTGGAGTGTCTGGGGTCACCTATGTGATTTACAGCAATCTGCCTCATGTGTCTCAGACTCAGCTTCTTTGTCTGGAAGATAGAGATAATACTAAGGCCAGGGCCAGGGCTAGGGTGAGGCAAGTGGGGCACTTGCCTCAGTAGCAAAATATACGAGAGTGCCAAAAACTCAGTAGTCAAGATTAATAATATTGTCATGCAATATTTCTTTTAAAGTCAAATTGGTCATCTACAGCAATCTATTTTCATAAAGAAAGCTTCACTGGAGCCAGGGCCAGTTTTAGGGTGATGCAAATGAAGTAGAGTCATGCAAGTACAAGGTTGGATCCTGTCTTTAGTTAAAATGTTGACATTTTGTTTAGCATTAATCGTTTTTGGATTAATTTTGAGTTTTTAAAGTGTTGTGTGAAAATATTATTTATCTCCATGACTGAGTCTTTTGGTGCTCACCTACCTCACTCTAGCCCTGACTCTGATGAGCACCTGGCATTACTGGAAAGATTCGATGAAACAGTGCATCCAGATCTTGGCCCCTTGGTGTCTCCTCACTCCATATCCTCTTGGACCCCCTCAGCTGAGTGCACAGTGCCCATGCATGCTTCCAACCTCATATACCCAGCCTCTCTCTTTCTCTTCTTCAAAAATGCCAGGAATTTAATGCCTCCAGGGGGAACCCTCAACCACAGAGGACAGTAGTTGGTTAATCAATACCCTCATTCAACATATGAAGCTTTCTTCTAAAAGGCTGCTGACAAGCAGGGAAATACCGGGACTAGGATGAGGCAAGCAAGATGCTTACCTCTGGGGCAAAATTCAAGGAGGTGCCAAAACCTAAGTCACAAAACATATAGTGTTTTAATGCAATATGTTCATAAATAATGAGCCATCAAGCTTAAAAATAATGTGAAGATCCGCTTTGAACCCCAGAGTTGGTATACAGATTGTTTTAAGTTGAAGACATTTGAGATTCAACAGATGCAGAAAGAAGCCTTCTTGGGGCTTCCCTTATCTGACTAAAAGCACAGACTCCTGGGAAATGAGGCTGCCATAAATTCCCTCTTCAGGGCAGCTTTTACTCCCAGGAAGGAGACCAAGAGTAAACCTATGACAAATCCCTTCTTGAGGGAGTTTTATGACAATGAAGAAAATGAAAAGACCACTCAAACTTGCATAAACAAGTATACTACAAACTTTCTTCTCTCGCATTTATTTTTCTAGAAATCCATTTGTCTTTCCTAAAGACCTTCATCTGGTCCTCCCATAGAGGCCTTTTCTCCCTCCTCCCTTTTCCCTACTAAGTTAGATCTGTAAATCTCTAACCTTAACCATTAATCATTTATCCAGCTACTTCTTTTTTAAGATCATGTGTGCATATGAATAAACTCTTCTTTCTTCTGTTATTCTGTCTTTTGTCAGTTTAACTCACACGCCCACGGGTAATGAATCTCAGAAGGTAGAGGAAAAGTTTTTTCTGCCCCAATCATTAGAAATTATGATGGTTTGATTTGAGGAAGGTCTTATGCTGCACGTCATTTCATCTCTATCTGAGACTAAGGCTAGAAACATAAGAGTCTTCGAAATTAACAGAAGAAAAGGGTAGGGAGAGATAATGAGAGGAAGAGTCCTGTCTAATGTTCAAATGAACAGAAACTTTCAACTTGCCAGGGACTCTCTTCATTTTCCATTTTCAACATCATAACACTTTCCCCTAACAACAGATTATTTATTACATATGAAATTTATAGCTACGATGTTTTTTGCAAAGCAGACAATGAGACAAACATTGACAAACACATTTGGCCCCAAACACATTTTTTTTCCCTTTAGCCAAAAACCACTTTTTACTTTCTTGTTAAGAGAGGAAAACAAATCCAAATACGTGAAGCAAAGAAAGGGTCTATACGCGTGTTTTAATTAATTTGTTTCTCCCATCAACCTCGTTTTTAGAAGAAAGCCAAGTAGAGTCTGTGAAGAGCATGTATGGTATGTATGTCTAGTTCAGTGTCTGTTGGAAGAGCTCTCTTTCCTGTTTATACTCAATACCCTACAATGTAGTAAACCTAAACATAAGATTTTTCTCTCCATAATCTCACAGCGGCACAAGATTTTAAAATCTCTTGTCTTTGCCAGTTTTACCTCACTGCTTCACTGAGCCAAGTGCTCAAGAAAATGAATATTTGCTGCCAAGGGGGATTGGAGAGGCTGTCTGGAACAGAGGTGCATGGGAACTGTAGTTTGTTTTGTATTTAGCTCCAAGGCTTCCATAAGAAGCACGTTACCCTAAAACAAATAATCCTGGAAGGTTGGGAACATGAAACACATGTCTTTGCTCTGTCAGAAGTACATCTTCCCTTCCTTTTTGATTTTGTGCTATTTCCTAGAGGAACCTATATTCTCTTGAGTAGTATCTCACTGAGCTGCTTCTGTTCAACATGGAACATAATCTTCCTCCTGCCTCTTGATTTTCACCATTGCTGCCTCTGTGATTATAACATATACCAGCCAGCATTTTTTTTCACCTCTGCACATAGCTACCAGACAAGCAGGCATTAGCTTCATCCTATTTGCATCTAAAATCTAGAGACCCATTCCCAGAAGAGCCCATGCAGAAAATACTGATGAAAGTCAATAATAAGTAAGAGTAGTAGTGACAGCCCACTAAATTCAGCAGCACTCTGGTAACCTTCCTGGAAATAAATGCAGGCTGTAAGGGGGTGTTTTTTCTTCAAATATATTTCAACATATTTTATTGAAACTACATGCACAGCTCAATAAGAAATTAAAAGATGAGCAAGATTTCTTTTTTTCCCCTCAGCAAATACTATATCCTATTAAGCTACATTAGCTTAATGTAAAATGAATCCTATTTTAATCTAAATTAGACATTAAAAATACATACTTTTTCCTAAGGAGCTAGGAAATATCTTAGCCAAAGTGCTAACCACACCATGTAACACCCAAGTAAGAGGATGTTGGGTAGTTAAAATGCCTAAAAGTTCAACAAGCTTACCCAAGCATAAATGTTGCCCCAGAAGAATATATTCAACCATTCTACACACCTTGAAATGCAAGCCATTCCAGTGTAGTTTAAGTTAGTTGTGGGAAAAAAAAGCAGTTGGAAAATTAGTCTTAAAAACAAGTGATAAATTAGTGCTAGTAGAATAAAATCTGCAATGGAAGAAATTGGCCAGATTTTTACAAAATTATATAAACAGAGTCATAATGTATAACTTGTGTCTGTTACTTAGCTCTTATGCTTTCAAAAGTTGAATTTCCTTTCAACAGTCTCAAGGTCCCTTAGGAATATTTTTCAAAATATATTCAGAGATAGATTAACCAGATTGCTCCAGGAATGACACTTTCTGGTTAATTTAATTAACCAGAAATCCCTATACACCAGCCCTTACTGCTGAAATTCTTCCTAGATTGCCTTTTTAGGGAGCATGTACTGGACTTCATCTTCCCTTGAGAATCTAACATGCTGGATGATTGAGCATCATAACCTTTTGCTTCTGAAAATGAAGCGAAGGTTTGGTTGCATTGGTACAGAAATAAGGCCCTATTTGAAGGCATAGGAGGAAATATAGGCCATACTCATATCCTTCTTCTCCCTTGCCCTATTGAGATATCAAAGCCTACCTAACTTAGTCGGGATCAGGCTTTTAAAATTGGGGGATAGGATGGCTTATTAGTCAGGGTTCTCCAGAGAAACAGAGCCATGGGGTGTGTACAGAGAGAGATTTATTCTAAGGAATCGGCTCATGTAATTGCAGGGACTGGAAAGTTCAAAATCTGCAAGGTAAGCCTACAGACTGGAGACCCAGGGAAGAGGTGATGTTGCAGAGTCCAAGGGCAATCTGGAGGCAGAATTCTCTTGGGGATGTCAATCTCTTTTTCTCTTAAGACCTTCAATTGATTGGGTGAGGCCAACCCACATTACGGAAGGTAATCTGCTTTTCTCAAGCTCTACTGATTTGAATGTCAAATCTTATCTAAAAGAATACCTTCCCAGCAACATTTAGACTATTATTTGACCACATATCTGGGTACTGCAGCCTAGTCAAATTGTCACATAAAATTAACCATCCCAGGTGGGGTGAGGCATTGTTGAAGAAGGCATTGTTGAAGAAAATCTTCAACAAGCATGAAAAATACGTGGACTAGAATCAGAGGGCAAGTTCATCTGCTTTACCCTGATAGGTCAAAGCAAGAGAAGGGAAGGGCAGAAAGGTTGATTTTATTCCTATTAGTCAAGGTATTTTTTTCTTTTAATCACTAGCTGGTTTAAATATCTACTTATGTTCTCAAAGTGTCAGGGTCCACATTAATTGTTCTAATGTTCCATAGCTTTGCTCCAGGAAACTTGTGAAGTGTCTGAGGTAGTAGAAAGACACCATAATGGATAACAATAGGGAATAACAATTGAGTACTAGATATTTTCTATGCATTCGTTTATTTTATCCTCATAACAACCCTCTGAAGTAGGTACCAATATGTTATCATTTCATACATGAGGAAACTGATGACTAGAAAGCTAAAGTGACCAGCTAAGATCACCCAGCAATGAAAAGTCAGAATAGTGACTCAAATGTCCATAGAATCCCAAAGCCCATGTTCTTACACAACATATTAAACTGCATCCTTGTTTTCTTTTATTAACGCTCCAGTACATATCAACTGTGTGCTACAAATAAATTGTGTGCTGTTTGGGCTACAAATAAATAGGAAAAGATAAGCTGAGGATGGTTGTTGGTCTGCTCCCTGCCTTTCTCTTTTGCCTTCCCACTTAAGGAACCAAGCCATGCCACCTACTGCATGCCAATAGTGGGAATCGCTTCCTTATGTATTTCCTTGAAGGGTTACTGAAAAATAAAATGAAATCATCATTGAGGCACAGAAAGGCAATTTAAGTATCAACAGCCAAAACAGGCAAGGGAGCTAAATGTAACAAGTACAACGTGGGATACTATACATGAAAGGGTATTAAAAAATTGCCATCACCCAAAGTCTACCCTGCAAACAAATGCAAATAATTCTATGCATTGAGTATTCATGTAAGGATACAATGCAGTCTGTATCCTCAAGAAGCTCAGACTCGTTGGAAAAACAAAATTCCAAAGTAAGGGCAAAAAAATTATTCAAACATAATTAAGCACCAACAATAAGTGTTTCAGGCACCTCTGGGAGGTAAGAAAAAAAAATGCTGGCAAATAATTGGCTTCTGTCTTCCAGCTCCTCCAAGAAAACTCAAAGAAAATTGAGACACCTGCCAAGAGGCAGCGAAAATCAGTCAGTGCCACCTTTCAAAAGTGGCATACTTCAACCAGGAACTTTCAGCTCAATAAAGCCCTCAAAACAACTGGCTGTGACTTTCCAAATGTTTCATCTTCACAAGCTTTGCTTACATAAGCTGCACTCAAGGAAATAAAAGCAACCATGAGTTTCGACAACATTAAGTAATAATATGGTCCAGTTGGCAGGAGCTGCTGCCTCTGGTCTCCAGCACAGGTGGGATTTCAACACAGCCTGGGGTATCCTGCCTCTGTTTCTAGATGTCCCACAATGGCAAAGCCTGCCTGGCTCACTCCTGTTCCTTCAGCACCCAATGTCTTGTCTGGCATATAGTGGGTGCCCAATAAACAAGCAAATGAATGAAGTTAACAATCAGATGAAAAACTGCAGGGTAATTTGGGGATGGTATTCCCTTCTATGGGTTCCTTCTGTAATTTTATGATGCTCATTTCAAACAGAGAAGCAGGCTTTGGCTTTCTTTGTTTCAGAAGAGGTCTGAAGTCAGTTGCAATGGCTATCTTGTATGGAAATCCAGAGTCACTGAAACAACTATTATGGATTTTCTGGAGCTGACAGAGAGAGGGAAGGGTAACTTTAAGGGCTGGAGGAAGAAAGAGGGAAACGTGTCTCAGGGAAGTTGGGAAAGAAGACAGAGATTGGGGGACCTGCTAAATAGCTAAGACTTAAGGCCCGTTGTGGCAGCACTCTGGGGGCACTCAACTTCCACCTCAGCCCCAATTCCAGCACCTCAAGCTCAAGAAAGTCTGCAGGCTGACAAAATGGGTGTCTGCATTTTACCTCCATGCACTTCTTGAGACCATTTGAGACCCAAGAGACTTTTGCACGGCACCCTGGGTAGGGGGCAAGAGCAGGAAACATAGAGAAGAAATGTATCCCAATAATGGCCAAGGTTGAAATTAAACCCACCCTTGCAGGATGAGAAAACTTAAGGAAAGATTTAAGAAAACTAACAAAGGCAATTATTCTTCTGACTGTGAGATTATAGGTAGAGAGTCATAACTGCTACAGCAGTTTACAAATTGCAAACAAGTGTAAAGCTCTCAACTGGTGATGGATTTATCATCCAGTGAAGCCTGATGAGTTAGCAAATATTGTTTTGCATAGAGCACATCCATGCAAAGTTATGCTAGGGTGTGTGGATGCCAACATCACATCCACACACCTGTCGAACATGGGGCACCAATTTGGAGCCTCAGGGCAGGATTCACATGTGGCCCTATCCAGCAGTTTCTTTAGCCTGACTACTCAAATTACATGTCAATTCCCTAGGATTTATAAATTCATCCTAGTACTAGGACTTACGGTTCATCTTTATGGCCATCACACTGTCTAATGATTGGCACTCAACTAGTGCTGTTAACTAGTGTTATTAACCAACAATAATAATGATGAAAATAACAAAACTGAAAATAGTGCTATCGTTATGGAGTTCTCACTCTCTGCCAGGGAATGCACTGACCTCTTTATGTGGATCAGTGAGGTGAAAAACAGGAAAAAAAACAACTTCTTATTTTGTCATTTTACAGATAAGAGGATTGGTGTTATCTTCATTTTACAGAAGAGGAAATAGAGACTTAGAATGGTTTTTAACTTGCTCATGTTTATGGTAAAGGCAGGATTGAAACTCAGGCAATCTGACTCCAGAGCCCATGATTTTTAAATAAAATTTTATTATGGTAAGACAGATTTTAAAGTGCACAATGCAATATTACTATCTATAGGTAGTATTGTACAGCAAATCTCCAGAACTTATTCATCTTGCATAAGTAAAACTTTATACCCGTTGATTAGCAACTCACTGTTTCTACTTCTCCCCAGCTCTCTGGCAATCACAATTCCACTCTACTTCCACAAATTTGACTATTTTACATACCTCCTATGAGTAAAATCATGCATTATTTATCCTTCTGTGACTAGATTATTTCACTTAGCATAATGTCCTCCAAGGTTATCCATGTTATCACACATGGCAGGATTTCTTTCTTTTTGAAGGCTGAATAATATTCCACTATATGTATATATACCACATTTAAAAAAATCTATTTGTCTGTTGATGGACAGTTAGGTTGTTGCCATATTGTAGCTATTGTGAATAGTGCTGCAATGAACATCAAGTACTGATATATCTTTGAGATCCTGATTTCAACACCCAGAAGTGGGATTGCTGGATCATATGGTAATTTTATTTTTACATTTTTGAGGAAGTTTCATAGTGTTTTCCAGAGCAGCTACACCATTTTGCATTCCCACCAACAGTGTGCAAGGATTCCAATTTCTTCACATTCTCACCAATGCATGTCTTTTGGCTTTTTCATAATAACCATCCTAAGTGGTGTGAGGTGATATCTCATTGTGGTTTTGATTTCCATTTTTCTGATGATTCATGGCATTGAACGTATTTTCACATAACTTTTGCAGGTCTTCTTTGGAGAAATATCTACTCAAGTCCTTTGGCCATTTTTAAATCTGTTTTTTGGGGGGTTTTTTGCTATTGAGTCATAGTGAAGAACCCATGCTTTTACCTATTACAAAATATTGCCTCAATATGCAGTTATTAACAAACAAATAAGTACTAAGTGTTCAAAGATGGTTCCACATAATATACTGTCCAAGCTACAAAGATCCAGAAGTTCCCAACCTCACTATGTCTTTTAATGTCCCAGTTTTCCTACCACTGGAGAAACAGCAACAATGACCTACCTTGTATTCCAGCATTCAGGTAAACACCCTTCCAGCAAACACCCTTCCAGCTAAACATTATTCCCTGTCCAGGCATACTCCCCAACATAATTATGAAGGCAGCATTCTTCCTGCTAGACCCAAAGAACTCTGCCTTACTGATTTCCAAGGGGCTGGGATTGGAGACTCCAGGGAAGAGATATTACATCTACAGGAGCAATAGTTTGAAATAAACATGCACACACACATGCACACACTTATGTGTATATATGTATATGCATATATATATACACGTATCTGTACATATACTATATATAATGTTTTTATTTGGAGGAGTATAAATTACATATTATTCTATAATATAAACAACCATATTCATATATGGTTTATAAACCATATAAACTATATTCATATATGGTTTATAAACCATATATAAACCAAATTTGGTTTTTTATTCATATTTTACTATGTGAAATATAGTAAAATCATCTTGGATAGTGGGGAGGTCAAAAAGATTGATGATTTTCAAAGATGAGGGGAGTAAGTTTTGATACTGGGAGCTAACTTATTTTATCTTCAGAACACCTCTCTGAGGGGAGCCCTTATTTTAGTTTGGGTTCCCAAACTAAGAATTCGGTTGCAAGTGTTAGGAAGTGTTCCCATGACTGGTGGTGGTGGGGAAGGAAGCAAGAAAGTACGCTGGGGAAGGGAAGGAAAGGAAGCCAAGAAAGGGTGCCTTACAAGCAAAGTCTTACCTAGGGAAACTGCTCAGTCCCTCAGGGAACTCTGGAGACAGTGTAGGCAGTGATTCTCAAAGTGTGGTCCCCAGACCAGCAGCATCAGCATTACCTGGGAATTTGCCAGAAGGGCAAATTCTCAGGTGCCTACCCCAGACTTAATGAATGAGAAACTCTGGGGTGGAGCCCAGCACCCTGTATTTTAACAAGTCCCGCTAGGACTCTGATGCACATAAGAGTGTGCATGTAGCACACCTCCAAGTTGTCGTGATCAGGAAAGGGAGCCAGAGTATTTAACCCACACCTATCATTGGTTAAGTGCTAGTGGGAGAGAAAGTGCATCAGCAGCTGGCATTTATGACAATTTTAAGAGATCCACATGGTCTGGAGAGGCACTGACTGTGTCTGCTAGGGAACTCTTACTCTTTCTTTTCCAAAGAGGTCAGTGAGGCCAGTGTGACTTGCCCAAGGCCACACAGCTGATCATTGTCAGAATCAAAATTCAAATCTAGATCTGTCTGACTTCAGAACCAATCTTTTAACCAAAATACTACACTGCTTCAAGATGGGCATTGGTGAAAAAACTTGTAACACCTACACTTCTACAACAGCTCAAGGCCCCTTCCTCTTGCCTTCTCTGGCTTATTTTGCTCAAGTAAACATTTTCACTGAATGAACCAATCACTTAGGTTTAAATATCAACGACATGTTTGCATAACAATCATTCTGTCAGTGACAAATCTATTTCCTTCATTTAGAGAGCTTCAACACCACTAACCTAAAAGATCAATTGAGGGCAGGATTATTTCCTTCTTAGAATTTTATGGGAATAGTGCATTCTACAGAGACTATCCAAAATAGAAAAGCTTGCCTTCTAGTCCAGTCTGTAGTGGTATCTATTTATATTTTCATGAAAGGAAGTATACATAATAACGACTGTATAAATTTGTTTTGCAAGTAATCCAAAATAACTGCTTGGAAAGAATCATGATTAATGGAAAAATTTCCAAGTAATAGCCTTTCTTTTCATCAACGCAGCAACAACCAGCAAAACTTGGAGAATAGCTATTTCATAAGTGTGATGATTCAATGCAACTGATTTACAAACTGCTATGTAACATAGGGTAGTATACTGTTCCTCAGTTTGGGTTTCATAGACCCCCCAAGACTTTATAGACTGTGCATTGCCTTTCATGAGTTGTACAAGTGTTTTATTATTGTCACTTAAATTATAATCTTAAAAAAAATTTAACGGTCATAACAAGAAAACTTCTGCTGATATTTTCTAGTTGAAAAAGAGTCTAATTATGTTAAACTACATCATCACTGTTGTTTCTGCAATTAAAGTCTTCAGATGTATTTCAAGCAGTTCACCCAGTTTTTCCTGTACAAACAGCCCATATAATACTCAAGTTTGAGAACCATTATATAGTGAATTGGACCCTTGCTACTCAAAAGTATGGTCGCTGGATCAGCAACAGCAGCATCTCTCGGGAGATTATTAGAACAGTATAATCTCAGGCTCCATCTACATCCACTGAATCAGAATCTGCACTGGATTCCAGCACAAGAGGCTCTGAGACTGGATCCCAACGCCAACACTTACTGAATGTGTTATTTAACCTTTCTGAGTTTCAGGGTTCTCATCTGTAAATGAAGATGATAATGTAAATTCCTACCTCCTAGGTTTTCCATGGAGATTCAATTAAAGAATGCACATAAAAGATGTCAATCATATAGTGTAACACAAAGCACTCAATAAATATTACCTATTACAATATTTTCCTCAAAACAGCAAGAATAAAAATATCATATAGGTGGTTTTCTATTTTAGCCAATAAAATTATGCATCTTCAAAATGCTCATGGCTGACATTGCCTTTGACATTTGGGGAATATACGCTCGGATTTCCTACTAATATGTTAGTGAATGAAAGACTTAATATTGAGTTGTTTAATGGCAATGTGTAACCTGATAGCTTATCAAATTCTCTGTGCAGAACAAGTAGATTTCCAGAAACAGCATTTAAGCTCCACTTGAGAGAAAAATATTTGTTTGCTGCAGAAATTAGGAGAGTCAATTGGAAACTCTCCTACTGATAGACTTGCATTCAGAAGAAGACTCAGTCCATACAATTCACATTTACATCTTTTCTTCAAAGCCCCTAAAATATTGACTCATATTTTAAAACACAACATCGAGCCCAATTCAAAGTGACTGAAATTAAGACACACAGCCTCATCATGTCGTTATGGCAACTTCTCACAAAACTGTCCTTTTAGTCATTGAACAATTGCTAATTTTCTTGCTTTGCAAGGAAGCCCCAGTTGCTTCCTCAGAAGGCTCAGCCTGGTATCAAAAGAAATTGTATATGATGGAGATAGAAGCATTCACAACGGTCACTTTTGGGAAAATAACATTTTATTATTAGTCACGCTTTGCATTTCAACTTGTTTTCCTCCTCAGCATGCCATTTGTGGTGTCTCTGATTTCTGTTAGTTTAGCAGACTGTCACAATAAAGAGACTGGTGGAAACTTTGCTTTCTTTCTAAATCGCAGGATGGTACAAAACTCCAAAATCATCAAAAACTGAGAGAGATTTTCAGATGGAAGCTCTCTCATCTCTGTGTCCTTCGAGTCTAACTAACATGTCTACTGGATGAACAGTAGAGAATCACTGAAGTCCTAACATGTATTTTAAAGTTATTTACATATTTTCCAAAGTGCATAAGAATTATTTTAGTATTTTACTTTTGCAGGACTAAACTGGAATAATTTATGAAACAAATCAGGTATTTGATGAGTGGTCATAACTAGAACCATCCTTGGAACTCAATGAAAGTGTTTAAAACAAAGATCTTTATTCATGAAACATTAACAATTCTGAGAAACTGTTCTAGATTAAAGGAAACTAAAAAGACACGATAACTAAATAAAATGTGGTATCCTCAACTGAATTCTGGAGTGAATAAAAAAGCAGTCTAAGGATATTATTGGGACAATTGGAGAAATTTGAATATGAGCAGTATATTAGATAATGATCTTAAGGTTAGACGCTCAAATATAATCAGTGTACTGTGATTATGCAGGGTAATTTCCTTGTTCTTAGAAGGTGATTGCTGAAATATTTGCTACAATGTCTGCAATTAATTTTCAAATGGTTTAAAACATACATATACATTCATACATACACATACACACACTATAAATAGATTAAAAAAGCAAATGTGGTAAATGTTAACAATTGACAAATCCAGGTGAAAAATATAAGATTGATCATCGTGCTATTCTTAGTAATAAAAAGTGGGGATGGGAAGTCTTTTTTGATTAAAGGATTCAAATCTGATGGGAGGGAAACGGAAAAAAATAAAGATTCGGGTAACAAGGAAATATGATAATCTGATAGTGTATGAAATTTTACAAAAATTCTTTTAGGATCAAAAGCATCCAAATAAGAGTCATCTCCATAGAGATAATATTTGACCCGAAATACATAGATAGATTTTATTACACATAAGAAAATACCTTTAAAATAACAGAACTAGAGTGAAATTATCCAAGACAGCTACAGAAGTGCCAGAAATAGTCATGAAAGCAAGCAAGCAAGAAAGAGGACTAGATATCTTAGACCTGTCATCTCAGATGACAAGTCTATAGACAGATGACGGACAGAGCCCAGAACCTCAGCTTTCAACCACATGTGTAAGCATTGCAGCCATTGCATGGCCTCTTTCAAAATGTCTAAAACCACACAGTCACTGAACTCATCAACTCATAAGCTTTCAAAACAGCAGAAAAGATCCAATAAACTAGTATAGTTTCTCAAATTCATCTTAGTAATGGATATAAATCTGACAAATATTCCCTTTATTCAGGTCTATTTTTTTTGTAAACTCTTTTCGTATTTTAAAAAACTGATCAATCTAATTCTTCTTTCAGTTACATCCTTCAAAAATCATTAACACACAGTATATGGACTAGTAAAGTGTGTGAGCTGTGAAGTCAGCTTGCCGGAGGTTGAAATTTACTAGCTATCCACTCTTAACCTTTTGGAGTCTCAGAGTCCTTATCTGTAAAATGGGGCAAATAAACATCTTTTTTAGCTCACAGATTTCCTGTGCTGGTCAAATTAGGTATGCTTTTGAGATCGAGCCAGACAATATTATTTGTAACTCATTTCAATGTATCTATATCCATTTATTTCTTTAAAAAAAGAGATAGGAATATTTGAGAGCTACACACAGCACAATACCTTGCCTACAGTAAAAAGACTAGTAAAAATACTAACACATAATCATGTAGGGTTCCTGGGAACCCCATAGAGAGGAAGAAAGTATATAATAGACTTCGGTGTTTTCAAAACCTGAGTTTACATCTCTAATTTCTTCTCTTTAGCTGTATATTCTTTGAGATACTTGAGATCTTTCTGGTTCATGCCCTCATCTGGAAAATGGAAATAATAACATCTCTGCATGGAGATGACAAAGTGTGGGTACAATGCCTACCACACTGTAGCTACTCAAGAAATGGAAGTCACAATCATTCTCATGCCACCAGCCTACTGAGCAGGTAAGTTTGTCCAATAACGTAAATGTATGCAGGTAGGTACCAAATTTTAAAAATGATAACATTTCAGATAGCTTCAGACATAGTCCATAGCTATTGAAATGTTTACCACTTCTAGCAACTGACTTTGTAGACACATTGATTGCATTTTCCTTTGGTTTACTTTTTAACTGAGGTATAATACATGCAGTAAATGAGTTACTTTTTTTTTTTTTTTGAGACAGAATCTCACACTGTCACCCAGGCTGGAGTGCAATGGCGCGATTTCAGTTCACTGCAACCTCCCGGGTTCAAGCGATTCTCCTGTCTTAGCCTCCCAAGTAGCTGGGATTACAGGCGCACATTGCCACGCCCAACTAATTTTCTGTATTTTAGTAGAGATGGGGTTTCACCATGTTGCCCAGGCTGGTCTCAAACTCCTGAGCTCAGGCAATCCACCTGCCTCAGCCTCCCAAGTGTTACATTTTTAAAGTGCACTAATCACAAGGCACAGCTTGATGAACCTGTATATATACACATATGTACACTCCCATGTACCCACCACCTTGACTAAGATGTAAAGCATTTCCAGCATCTTCAGGCTGCTTGCAGTAAATACTCATCCCCGGAGGGAACCACTCTTCTGACCTCTGTCACTATAATTTCGTTTTGCCTATTCTTGAACTTTGAATAAATGCAATGATACTGTACACACTCTTTTCTTTCTTTCTCTCTCTCTCAGTGTGTGTGTGTGTGTGTGTGTTTGTGTATAGTATACAGTATGTTTTCTTTTGAAAACACATTAGAATTTCCAGTGTGAGCTGGGCACGGTGGCTCAAGCCTGTAATCCCAGTGTATTGGGAGGCAGAAGTGGGAGGATTGCTTGAGGCCAGGAGTTCAAGACCAGCCTAGGCAACAGAGTGAAACCTCCATCTCTACAAAAAACAAACAAACAAACAAGCAGAAAAAATCCCAGTGTGTTTCTGATGAGGCAGATTCCTGGACTCTTCCAGGAATCTTTTTATTACTAATATTTTGTTGTTATTGGAAGTCCTTTGTCTTGCTTTTACATTCATTTGTTGTTTGTTTCAGATCAATGTTCTGGTGATGTTCTGCATCCAGACCATCTTTCAAGAACTGAATGGTTACTACCCTGGGTCTTCTACCGAAAGAAAGAACATGGGTGTGGGCATTCAAGTATAGCCTCTAAAAAAAGAACACATAAGTGGTTGCTGGGTGCTGTTATATAATCACACACATACAAGGCTTAAATCATGAATATTTCCTTTTTGAAGGGGAAAAAAAGCAAAAATCCAATTGTGTAGAGTTTTAGGACAAGAATATTATATGAAGAAAATATAGCTCCAAGAGATAGTGGCTGAAAGGGCAGAATTAGAGAAGCAGAAGAAGCAAGAAGTTACCGCAAAGGCTTCCAAAAATAAAATAGGATGATACGCCCAAGAAAACAAAGGCTACTTTTGCTAAGTCAGGGGTGAGAGAAAATAATGAAAGATGCAAAGAAGAATGACTATGGAGCTACTATTTTGTCTCAGCCTTTAGCACAAAGAACGAAGGAAGCAGGAGCTCAGTAAGATAAATATTAATGAGTCTCTGGGAATATCAAGAAACAGAATTAATAAGAGGCAGGTAAAAGAATACTTATACAATTTAAATATTTATAAATCAGTACAGCTGGGTGAGATTCATTTGAACAAATTCAAAGAACCAGCTAAGGCAGGACATACCTGCAATACTAGTGTTTGTCATAGAGAGTTATGTACCAGGGAAATTTAAGCAGGCTGATTTAGTGTTGGAGCTAAAGCAGCCAAAAGCAGATACAGGAAAAGGTGGGCTAGTTAGCGCATCCAAACTACCAGTCAAAACTCTAAATGAAATCATAAATCAGTCCATGAGCATCTTCAGAAAAATAACATAGTAAGTCATAGCCAAAGAGGTTCATAAAAAACAGAGCCTGTCAAAGCAACTTAATCCATTTTTTGGAAATGCTAAGAAATTTGGATTATAGACATAGTTTACAGAGGCCCTGCAGATGCCACCAGACAACTCAATTTGAACCCATCTTGGTGATGGAATGGCTGTTACTCTCACTGTTTCCAACAGAGAAGGGCAATTTCACCTGCACATTTAATACACAGGGATAGGGTTCTCTGTTCATTCCCCATCATAGCCCAGGACAGAGTTAATTTAGTTCTTAGCTAAATAGAGTCAGTGCCCAGAAGTATCCAAATGAGAATGAAATATATTGATAATTCTGTTATCCAAATGAGAGTGAAAGATAATGATAATTCTGGAGCAAACTGGACTAACATCTTTCAGAAAAAACAATATATATATGTGTATGTGTATGTCTGCAATTATCAGGATAATTCAAGGAAAACAAATACTATTGCTCGAATTGATCATATAATTATGGAAAATATAAGAAGATGTGAAAACAAAGGCCCTCTTATAAAATACAAAGACCTGACCGGGTCACCAGGCTCTGCTGAAACTGTTCAATGACTTCCCAGGGTTCTTAGGCCAGAACCCTCAGCCTCCTCTCAAGGCCTGCCTAGTCTGTCTGTGCTCTTCTCTGCAGCATCACTGGCACCACACCCCTCCTTGCCCTGGGCAAGCCAGCTCCTCTGCCCTTCTTTCAGCTCTTGCAAGACTTCCTCTTGTTTTTGCCACTGAGCCTTTGCACATGCTGCCCTTGCTTTTACTTACCCTAGCTACTTATTCTATAGTTTTCTACTCAAATCCCACTTTGGGAGGTAAACCTTCTTTTACCTCCCAGAACATAATATTTTCATAGTATTTGGCTCTAATAAAACCAATTTTCTTCCCAGAAGCACTTATTTTAGAATGTAATTTTATACTCATTTAAAAAAAAGTTAGTGTAGTCCTCCTCCACTAGATTACAAGCTCCACCAGAAAAGGGACTGAGTATGAGTACTTCACAATTGTATCTCCAGGATGTAGCACAGTCCCTAGGTACAGTAAATATTTGTAATCAGATAAAAAAAAAACTAGGAGTATATATATATATATACACACATACACAGTTGGGCTCCCTTCATAAAAGGTTAGATGGAAAGGACATCTTTCTATCCAGAATAATATTTTCTTCAGTTTTCCTTTCAACTACAATCATAGGAAAAAAAAATTTAATGAGGGTCCTGTTGACAGAGGTGTAAAAACATGAGGCAGCTAAAACTTGAATTGTTGAATTCTACATTTGCACATTACATTTACCTGTGATGTGTTCCAAAATTTCATTTCATGGTGATAATGAATCTGTGGGAAATTAGCATTCTATCACTCTTCATATGGGAGTGTTAGTGAAGGTTTTCCAAGCCGTGTATCCTGCATAAAATGAAACATTTTTCAGGTAACCAAGTTTGTAGCACACTCTTTCTATCTCAACAGTGTTCATCTTTACACCTCAGAAGGACCTAAGCCTAGAATTAGAGAAAGCCATGAAGTTAGAGAATATTATCTTATTCTAAGGTCAATCACTGACAGGGAATTTTCTCCCATGATGCTTGGATGTTTATATTTTTAATAGGAATTTGTAAGTTAATAAGTAACCAGCCCCCCTGCAAGCAAGGTTTTGACATATCCAAGGTCACACCAAAATTTGTGACCCACCTAGGACCAAAACTCAGACTTCTAGTTTCAGTCCACTGATCTTTTGTTAGTTCATTCATTCAACAAATAAAACCTGAATGGCCCCCATGAATCTGGCACTGTGTTGGTCACTGGGGAAACAAAGATGGAGACACTGCCCTTGTCCTTGTGGAATTTATTAGTTGATGAAGGAGACCAAGGAAGAATGAATAAATACAATACAACTGTGGCGAATGCTATTTGAGGCCACCACTCTTGGTGCCCAACGCTGCATTTCCTCTGCTTGCCTCTGATTTCAGCTGCAGCTGTGGTGGACAGCTCCTGTGCCTGCTGACAGCTTCCCTCCTGCCCAGAGATTGCCCTTGGGGGAGTTTGCTCAGACTCTGGCCAAGCAGCACAAAAGAGTGGTGTGACCATCCCTGAGAGCAACCTTCAATCAGAAGGGGACGTGAGTAGGTAGATAAATATTCCATCCTTCCATCATTCAGAAGAACCATTCAAGAGGCATTCTACATGGTTCCTGAGAGGATCCCCTCACGATTGAGCCCCAGTGTCCACAAAAAGAACCAGCTCACTAATGTAACTTTAGAGGCTTTTTCTCCTTCCCAGTCTCTCTCTTCTCCACTTCCTCACTCCTGCTTCCTAAAATCACCTCTGCCCAAAGAAACTTCCTACTCCTAAACCCTGTGTCAGGTTCTGCTTGTAGAGGAAGTCACACCAATACACAATATCAGTAAATGAATTAATGCAGAGAAGGCACTGGAGCCACAGTTGCAAACTGGAGTCTCTTTTGTTGGCTATCTACAGGGTCATTGTGTATAGTGCAATGGTTGTTTTTGTTTTACCTACTTGAAGATCACGTTGTTAAATGTTGGGTGTGGGAATGCAGGAGTGGAGTTTCCAGGTTAGAGCTGAATTGCTTCTCTAAAGAAATATAAATATATGTGTGGGAAGAAGGAAAACATTCAGGAGCAGAAAAAGCCAAGCTGGCACACCTAAGAGAAGAAATGGTGGGCAGGAGAGAGGGTGGAAAAGATCTGAGTGTTGGGGATCTGAGTCGAAAAGATCTGAGTGTTGCTTTTGGAAAATGGAATGCTGGGGAGGTGTGATCTAAAATCCCCTGAGCTTTCCCCAGGCTTACACTAGGCCCTGTGTACCTTGAAGCTCTTGGGACCATACACAAAGGAGATGGCTTCAGAGTCAGTTCTGTGACTTCAATCTGAGCTTCTACTCCTGGGAACTGCTGCTGCTCACAAAGATTCCCACCAAACAAAGGACAGTGAGTGAGAAGCCAAACAGCAAAGATGTAATAAAATGTCTAGCTAGGGTTAGCATTCCTTAGGCTTTTCTATGAAAACCAGTACTTATTTACAAGTCATGCCTTACAGGGCAGGAATACAGATTCATAATGAGGAAAATATTCTCAATCATCATAAATCAGATCCAGTCACTCTCCTGTGATGCTTCCCACTGTATTGGGATGATGTTTGGGTTACAGCCCCAGCCCCCAGCCTAGTGCCTGCCATGCAGTGGCACACGGTACATACTTATTAAAGAAAACCGGGAAGAAAGAAAAGAAGGGAGGGAATTAGATAGCTGGCTATTCAATCAATGAGTCATTAATCAAAAGATTTTAACAATGATGTAAATTCAAGATCAGTGCACTGAACCCAGTACATTAAATCTTCATGAGGATGAAAACAATAACATAAATCAGAATCTTCCTAGATCCTTTGGGTTAGGGATGGTTATAGAGGACTGGGGAGTGGGTGGAGAGAACACTATGTTGCCATGGAGGAAGTGGGAAAAGGTTTTCTTTTTTTTCCTTTCATTAGAAAACATCAGTAGGTAAGAGGATGCTCTCTTATTAGTAATGAGATATGGGCTTCCTTCCAGAAAGTGACAGAGATTTTTCCAGCAAATCCATAGCCTTTGATGTGAGCACTACTGAGAAAATATCTTCAGCTATGCAAGCACGGAAGAGAAATTTGAAGAAGGCATTTCATGTTCTCCTCTGTTGTATCTTTGATGTACACAAAGGATTTAGTCCTAGAAGACGAAGACCTTACCCATTTTCTTTCCCCTTGAGGAGAGCTTTGTTCCACATTTCCCTGTTGGGCCATGATCCTGGTGAGTAGGTGGCACATTAATTATTGGATGTTTTCATTATCCAAGTATTTGTTATCCAAGTCCCTGTAGACAACAGGTTACAAAGAGAAGCAAAAGTCATCATAACAGCAAAATATTTACCAATGAACTTACCACTTACAATATTACCCCTGACTTTAAAATTCCTTGCCAATTACAAATTATAATTACAAATTACCTATATTACACTACAAATCTAAAGCAAATCAACTGCTAAGACAAGTGCAAATCTTTTAAAGGATACAGAGTTTCATAAAGCCAATCGAAGTGATCTGGGAGAAATGCTCTAAATACAAGCAAAGCTTTTGACAAATGACAGTACTGCCTAGTTAAACTAGTTAACAGCTGAAAAAGAAAAAAAAAAACTCATAAAGGGGATGACATAATAGCGCTTAGCAAGAAAATGATGTGTATACTGAAGGAAGAAACACGGGAAAATTGACCAATACTGATTTTTTTCTCAAAATGACCTTTATTATGAACTTGCTGCTAAACTTAAACATTAAGTGAAAGATGCCATTATCATACTACCATAAAATTTGTGTTGAAAGATTATACCTCCCAAACTCCTATTCATTCTTCATCTTCAACATTAGTTAATAATTGTAATTATAACCTATATAATTATTGATAATATTAAAATAGGGGTTAAAAACTAATTTAGTTTAATTTTTTAAGCTGAGTTCTAATCAAGTCTTTTGTCCCACTATTTACTTGAACAAGTGGCCCCTGTATTAAATGGCTTCACTCTCAGTGACCTTTGCATAAAGAAGACTTCTACTCCTGAATCCATCTATTTCTCCCACCAGCTCTGTCACTGCCGTAATTCAGACCACCATCCTTACTCACTTAGATTACTACTACAAGGGCTCCTATTGCCCCTGTCTCCTCATTTACCTTCTCCAATTCTTCCTCCCCACTATAGCCAGATGGGATCTTCTCAAATGCCAAAATAGCAATGTCACTCTCCTACTTGCAATCCTTTCATGAGGTCCATCTTCCTTCATTGTGTGTACTTCTTAGCACACCTTACAAAGTCCTTCATGACTGAACCCCTTTCTATGTTCAACTTGTTCTCTCTCCAACATCCTCAGGCCCAGCTCCTATACAGCTGTCCTCTTCATTCCAGTTTCTCATCATTCCCCAGTGCACTATTGTCTCACAGCTCTGGCTGTTGCACCAGCCTAATGCCTGCTCAGCTTTCAGTTCTCAACTTAGGAAACTTCATCCAGGAAGCTTTCCCAGATTCCCTAAGTTAGGTGTCCCTCCTTAACTGTCCCATAGCATCCTGTACAACTGACTATACTGAAAGCACTTAATATTATATTTATGGTTAGGGGTGAAGGCAAGGACCAAGTCTGACATGTCAAGAGTCTCCAGCACCTTGCTTAGCCCCTGGCCCAGAGCAGATGATCTAGTAAGTGCCTAATCAAGAAATAAGTGGATGGATGGATGCAACACCAAGCAAACCAAAGCAAAATAAATATTATATCACAAAAGGAATGAAACCAAGCAATTAAGCTGAGGCATCTTGAAGTCTTGTGGGTAAGAAATAAGAAAGACATCAATCAAAACTGTTCACAGCGATAATTTCTGGGGAGTAAAATTGAGGGAGTGAAAGAAAGGAATTTCATTTTTTTACTTTATACACCTAACAAGTGTTAGACATTTCCATAAGTATGAATTACCATTATAATAATTTTTTTTTTGAGACGGAGTTTCACTCTTGTTGCCCAGGCTGGAGGGCAATGGCGCGATCTCGGCTCACCACAACCTCCGCCTCCTGGGTTCAAGCAATTCTTCTGCCTCAGCCTCCCGAGTAGCTGGGATTACAGGCATGCGCCACCATGCCCGGCTAATTTTGTATTTTTAGTAGAGACAGGGTTTCTCCATGTTGGTCAGGCTGGTCTCAAACTCGTGACCTCAGGTGATCCACCCACCTCAGCCTCCCAAAGTGTTGGGTTTACAGGCATGAGCCACCGCACCCGGCCAAGATTTTTCTGGAAGTATTACTTTCAATAGCAAAAACAGCAATTACTTTTGCACCAACCTCATGTCATGGCTTTGAGTGCAGGGTTTCGGGTGCATGCCTTTCAACCAATACTCAGTCAAGGAGCAGAGAAACGTTCTAAATGCTTGTCCTGCCATGGCCCCCGCCATCGTGGCTCCTGCTCTGCTCTCCCACTGCCGCTGCAAGGAGATATGAACTGTGATTTTAAATTAGAGGCGATTCCTGACACCTTCTCCCATGTCTTAATTTGTAAGTTTCTATTTTCAATTTTTTTTTCCTAAAATGCCTGCAAATAGAGAAACTTAAAAATAAAAGCCATCAAAGAAATAAAATGTTCTGGCATTTTAGCTTACTTGTTAGGTTATGTTTATATCTCAAGGAGTTTTGCCTGTCATAGAATTTTAGAATGTCCTTAGTAATAACATATCCTGAGAATTTGATGTATTTTCTTCAGGAGAGTGAGACTGATTTCGGGGGAAGGATGGGGTACATGTGGAGGGAAGGGAATTTTCACTTTTTACTGTGTACCCTTCTGTACTGATCCAAAAAGTTTACAAGAAAAGCTCATATTACTTTTACAATAAAACAAAAGCTAATTAAAAATGCAAAAGCAAATATTGGCAAGCATTTCATGAGGCTTTTAAAAAATACATTAACACTCCTGGCAACTCCGCAAGGTAGATATTCTCTTCATTTTTAAAGATGAAGAAACTGAGACTCCGAGAAGTTCTAGGACTTGTCCAAGGTCATAAAGTTAATAAGCAGCCAACTGAGGACCGAAACACAAATCTTATTTGAAGGCTAAGGTATAGCTCCTTTAAAATGTAATACACAGTGTTTTGTTTTATTAAACAAGCTGATAGCGGTTTGCTTGGAAGATAAGTGTGTTACTTTAGGAATACAGAGATATTTATTTTCTTAGTTTAGGTCAGTAATAAAGCTTAGGGATACAAAATAAATGCCTTTCTGGAATAAGGTATCCAAATAGGAATTATATTAGCTGCCAAATTGAAAACAAATTTCCTTCTATTATTAGTATCTTAAGCATGATCATATTTCCTAAATATTATCTCTCATCTTTGGCAACAATAAAGCCTTAGACATACAGCCTTGCATAGAGAAAACAATCAATACTTATTTTAAATTTGTTAAAGCATGAATATGTCTATACTTAAATGCATGTGTGTGTGTGTGTGTGTGTGTGTGTGTGTGTGTGTGTGTTTTCATGTGACTATGTATTTGTACATTCTAGAAAAATATACATCCAAATTTTAACTGTTGTTGTACTCAAATGATGAGATTAGAAGAAATTTTATTGCTGTGGAATTTTGTAGACTTTTTCAATTCTCTTTCTTATTTTATTTTATTTTTTTTTCTGAGACGGAGTATCGCTCTGTCACCCAGGCTGGAGTACAGTGGCACGATCTCAGCTCACTGCAACCTCCACCTCTCAGGTTCAAGTGATTGTCCTGCTTCAGCCTCCCAAGTAGCTGGGACTACAGGTGCATGCCACCACACCCGGCTAATTTTTGTATTTTTAGTAGAGATGGGGTTTTGCCATGTTGGCCAGGCTGGTGTCGAACTCCTGACCTCAGGTGATCCACCTGCCTCAGCCTCCCAAAGTGCTGGGATTACAGGCGTGAGCCACCACGCCTGGCCGACTTTTTCAATTCTCTAAAATGGATATTTGTTACTTTTATAAGCAGAAGGAAAAGAGTGGGAATTGTGCTACAAGATAAGGAAACATTATAAAACCATAGTAGTCGTGTGTATTGGTTTAAGGACAGACAAACTGACCAATGGAACAGAAGGGAGAACCCAGAAATACATATGAATATTTGATACATGACAGGTAATAGCAGCAGTGTGTGCTGGGGCAGGGTTAGGTGGAGGACAGGGAGAGGAAATTCAATAGATGATCTGGCAAAAACAGCCTTCCATCATAGAAAAATATTACACAGAAAAATATTATATTGGACCCCTACCTCAAATCATATTCAAAAGTCAATTATAGATATATAAAGGACTTAAGTGTCACAAACAAAACTTTAAATTTAAACTTTCAAAAGAAATTAAAGGAGATTGAGAGAAATTTGTTAAACAAGATACAAAGAGTGCTAATTGTTAAAGAGGAGATTGATAAGTCAACGCAATTAAAACCAAGAACTTATGCTAAGAATACTTTAAAGAAAGTAAAAAAAAACCAAGTCACATGCAGGAAGAAGATATTTGCAATTATATAACAACCTACAGATTAGTATACAAAATATGAGGACTCCTACAAACCGACAAGATAAAGTAAACAATTCGATAGGAAATTGGGTAAAAGACATGAACAGACATCTCACAGAAAAAGAGACACATGTGGCCAATTAATATAAAAAGAGATTATTCACCTTGTTAGTAATCAGAGAAATACACATCAAGCCAAAATGCTATTTTGTATCCATGAGCTTAGTAAAAATAAGAACCAAATGTAGGATAGGATGTGGCTCAATGAGTAGGCTTATATGTTCTGGCGGGAGGATAAATTATTACAGTCACTTTGGAAAATAATTTTGCATTGCTGGTAAAGTTGAACATTCACATACCTTCTACTCAGCAGTTTTACTCCTGAGCATATTCCCAAGAGAAAATCTTGTTCACGTGCCCATGAAGACAATGTTCAAGAAGGTCTATGGAGTACTCCCCATAATAGCAAAAAACTGGAAACAACTGAAATGCTGACTGACAAGAAAATAAATCATATTGCCTAAGATAGTGCCTGGTACACAATAAACACTCAGCAAATGGTAGCTGCTATGGTTTGAATATTCGTTCCCTCCAAAACTCATGTTGAAATTTAACCCCCAGTGTGGCAGTATTGAGAGATTAATGGATTAATGGGTTATCATGGGAGTGGGACTGGTGCTTTGCAAGAAGAGGAAGAGAGACCTGAGCAAGCACACTCAGCCCCTCACCATGTAATGCCTTGAGCTACCTTTGGACTTTTCATAGAGTCCCTACTAGATGGGGCCCCTTGATCTTGGACTTTGCAGCCTCCATAACTGTAAAACATAAATGTCTTCTTCATAAATTACCTAGTTTCTGATATTCTGTTATAAGAAACAGAAAATGAACTAAGAGAGTAGACATTATCGTTAGTCCTGAGCATCAATTTCTTCATGTATAATACAGAAACAACATATTTTACAGAAATGTGTAAAGAATTAAGTGAGAAATATATGCAAGCCCTTGGCACATAAGAGATGTTTGATAAGTGTTACTGGTTCCTTACAAACCTGAGTGAGGGCTGGGAGTGAGCCACTGGGCTGGCTCACTGGAGCCACACACACAATGGAAAAGTGTATATAATGCAATGTTGCCGGTCAAGGCCCACCCTTGGCAGGTTTCCAAGGCTACTTGTTTTGTTTTGAGTTAACATTTTAATGCTCACTCTACGCCAGGAAAGCACCTTCTGAAGTGGTGATACTATTATTTCCATTTTATGCATATGGAAACTGAGCCCTTGAGATTTGAGATGACCGCAGGTCACCTACCTCCTAAGGAGTAGGTCTGGGTTTGAGCTCAAGTTGTCTGTTCCAGGGCCCCCTCTCAAAACCACCACCCTCTTCTAAGCAAAGTAACTCAGGAATGGAAATCCAAATATTGGATGTTCTCACTTATAAGTGGGAGTTAACCTGTGAGGAGGCAAAAGCATAAGAATGATATGATGGACTTTGGGGACTTGGTTGGGGGGAAGATTGGGAGGGGGTGAGGAATAAAATACTACATATTGGATACAGTGTACACTGCTTGGGTGACAGGTACACTAAAACCTCAGAAATCATCACTAAAGAACTTATCCATGTAACCAAAAACCACCTGTACCCTAAAAACTATTGAAATTAAAATAATAATAATAAAACAACTGCCCTTTGCTGCTTTCCTAATGCCACCAGAGCCTACTGCCATCAGGGCTAAACATCAACTGTAACAGAAAGTTCGACAAAATCTCAACTGGCGGAAATTCCAGGATCCTCCTTATGTTCCCTAACCCCAACCAAGGGGTGTGTGTGTGTGTGTGTGTGTGTGTGTGTGTGTGTGCGCGCGTTGGGGAGGGGGACCCAGTCTTGATGGCCAATGGCAGACCTTGGAGCAAATGTCAGCTCTGAGGAGCAGAAGCTGCAAATGGTTAACAGCATTATTCCCCGAAGGGCACCAAAAAGTCAAGTAAGCAATTCTTGACCTTTCAGAAGCGATTATCAGCAAAACATAAACAATTCTGCGGGCTTAATGAAGGAATGCTGTGAAAAGTGTAATGGGCTATTTGTGCACATCTCAAAAGCATCATATAATTTGGCACAATTGGCAGTCTATTCTCCAGCATGGCCAAGCAGGGTGTTGCTATTTAGGCCCAAAGGGCTTTGGCAAAGCCAGGTCCCCACCTCTATCCCTTCTCTAAAACCCAGGGTGTCTATGATTTAATTTCCAAGGCTTTAACATTACTTGCTGAAACGAGATGTGGCACAGGCTTACCCATTTTCCCCAAATGCAAAAATATGTTTTTGCTTCAAAATATGAGCCCTATTTTCATTCAGTTTGGGTTTTTTTTTTCCCGCTACAATTACAGAGGTTTTTTTTTTTTTTTTTTTTTCAATTACATTTTCAGGCAAATTGTTCATTAGGTTGACTCAGCTCTTCACAATTTTGGCGGACGCTGGTGGAAGAGTGAGGTGGTAGGGTACTTCATTATTTTTAAAAATGATGATTGGCCATATTCAGCTCCCATATTTCATTCCCAACTACATAAGGGCATTTAGTATGCAGACTCTGTGCATAAGCTCATCAGCTGCTACATTACCACAATGGCTCTTCTGAGCCATAATAGTCTACTATGGAAATGATCCGTGGATTATTTAAGTTTATAAGGTCTAATACACTTATAAACAAAGAGGGTTTTTTTCAGCATTTTTCCATTATTTATTCCTCATTAGTCTCCCCACCATCACCACCACCACTTTTTTTCTGCTTTTTAATACACATGCGAAAATAACCCAGAAAGAAACAGTCCCAAGTATGTTTAACTAAAGCTAAGAGAAAGCTGAGAAAATGATTCCACCAAAGCAATGATTTCCAGTTAATCCTGGGCTTCAGTCTATGTTTTTCTCCTGCAGATTTTCTGTTCACAGTCCATACTGGCTTCCAAATAAATAAATACATGTATGGCTTTGGGGACCACGGTTTTCTAGCTTTTTGTGGTATTCCCACAATTTCCAGGACAGTTGTATGACTTCTCTATAGTGTTGCTGTGTTTGCCATAAATTATTTGAGTCTATCTCAGGTTCTTGACCATTCTAAAATGGAGTGATAAAAATAGAAAGCAAAACTGGTGATCACGTATTTGGAAAATACAAGCATTTTTAATTAACTTACTTAAAAGATAGAAAACTTTGTCTCAGGCTGACAGAGATCACTAGGCAGAGAGCAAACTGAAATATCTCCAGTGGGCCAAGCAATGCTGGGATTACAGCCCACGTTTGCTAGAGCCATAAACAAAAGCAGCAGCGAGGTGAATTTAATGATAACAAAAACATGCCCTGGACAACCGTCACTGCTCATATTTGATTTAGATAATTCTTTGCTAGCAGTACAGCTTTGCCCTTCACTTCTGACATCAGAGAATAGATAGTTTTCTTAGAAATGGAATATTCAAGTGAAAGGTATTTTTAGACATCTGTAGAAAAGCATCCACTAGGAAAAGAGGACTGACACAAGCATTTATCATCTCTCCCTGTCAAGACCCAATAAATGGTAGTAAGAGAACAAACCCATAACAAAGACAAGCACAGATAGAGGACCGTCAATGAATACCATCACCCAATTTCTAATAAATGCGTAGAGAGTGGAAGCCAGTTGGTGGATGAAAGAGAGGGAGTAAGGAAGTGGGTGGTGATTACAAAGACAGAAGGAGACAATTGCTAGGAAAGCCCTAGAGAAGCTATAGAGTCAGGATGGGCACAGTCAGTAAAGGGTAGCAATAAAAAAGAGGCTAATTGAATTTACCTTTAGAAGGTCTTTTTCCACTAGCTCCCTTCCTCTCTTGACTCCCCCATTCTCTGTTTCAAGCAGTGCAGCACTTGGTTGATGGGGCTGCTGTGGCTCCCACACTCCCCTTGCAGCTCCCCAACCCCAAGTAAGCAAAGCTACATCTCACCCTACTGCCACCACCTTCCCTCCCCAGCATTTTACCTCCAGGCTGAAAACCCAGATAAATCTTGTCTTAAAAAGCTGAAGCAACTTCCTGGAGAGGAGGAAAGGCTAGGGAGGAGGTAGGCTCTGCCACAGTACAGGCGCCAACTTTCTGGCATTTGAGAGGCTCCAGTCTAGAAAGTGGCTCCCTGACTGCTCACCCTGCAGTGAAACCAGCTGAGCAGTCAGAGCTTGAATCCTCAGAGCCCCCAGACAGCCTTCCCATTCACAGGCTGATGGTACAGAGGCCTACGTGGACTGGTGTTGTCATCCCTGTTGTTGCCATTGTCATGATCATCATCAAACACTCATTGAGCACTATCTGACATCACTTCTTGAATCTCTTAAAGGCATTGCAAACTTTTGCCCCACACTGGGCTCATCACATTCTCTCACAACTTCCTCCCTAAACTGCTCCTTTTCCAATATCATACCAACCATCATAATTAAAATTTATAGAGCACTTACTCTATGCCAGGCATTGATCTAAGCACATTACACATAATAACTCATTTAAACTTAACAACAGCCCTTGGTGAGGGGAGGGGCTAGGCTGAAATCAACAAGGACACTCTCATTAGCATGTGAGGTCAACCAGTTAAAGAGGTCTCTGAAAAAAGAGACTTGAATCTCTAAGACGCCAATTATTTGTTGTGATTTTTCTCTCTGACTCTAAATAAATTTCATATCAAATTTTTGATGAGTTTGTGTGTGTCTGTGAGTGTGTGTGTGTGTGTGTGTCTAGTTTTGTGATCTTTTCTATAAAAGTTTTAGGCCTCCAAATCTTGGATTCAGTCCTGGGCTACCTACATAGAACAAAAATCGGACCTATATGAGAATTCTCATTAGCAACACTGATATTTGGCAAGCATATAATAGAACCAAGTATATAGACAGTACTCAGAATCCGCAGACACTGCTTACAGTGCTTCATGTATATTAGCTCACTGTATCAGTCAGCATTCTCCAGAGAAACAGAACCATTTATTATGGAATCTGGCTCATACAATTTTGGAGGCTGTGAAGCTCCATGATCTGCTGTCTGCAAGGTGGAGAAGCAGAAAGCTGGTGGTGTAATTCAGTCAAGGACCAAAAGCCTCAGAACCTGATGGAGGGTGGGAAGCACACTCAGACCCCAAAGGCCTGAGACCCAGGAAAGCTGATGTCCAAGAACAGGAGATGGGTGGTGCAGCTTAAGAAGGAGAGAATTTGCCTGTCCTTCATCTTTTTGTCCTATTCTGGCCCTCAACAACTTAGATAATGCCCACCAACATTGGTGAGGGTAGGTCTTCTCACTCAATCCACTGATTCACGAAAAATATGAATCTCTTCCGGAAAAACACCCAGAAACACACACCCTTATAGACACACCCAGAAATAAGGTTTTCCAGCTACATAGTCATTTCTCAGTCTAGTCATGTTGACACATAAAATTAACCATCACACTCAATCCATTTCCCTGTTTTATAGATGAGGATACTGAGACACGGGATATTTCAGTGATCTGCCCAGATAAGCAGGTGCAATGGTTCAGCTGTTAACCACTACAGTACTATCTCTTGGGTAATTGTAAACACTACAGGGATAAAAAAAATTACTATTAAAGTTTCATATGTACAACAAAACTGGTTATTTTTAAAAATATGTGCTCTCCTCCAAAAATTAAACATAGAATTACCATATGATCCACTTCTGGGTATATACCCCTAATAATTAAAAGCAGGAACTCAAGCAGATACTTGTACACCTATGTTCATAGCAGTGAAACGGGAGAGTTCCCTGGTCTCCCTCACCTGTTCAGTGGCCACTGCTGCTCAAACTCCTGAGGCGAGTGGGGGCACACAGACAGACAGGTGCAGGAGCCCAAGTGGGCATGAGTTGCAGTATCCCCTTTTAGCCCTGCTGTCCACAGACAGCTTGAGTGTTAACCAGCACAATGGACCCTCTGCCTTTCTACAAGGGCAGAGGGCCAGTGTGACAGCTTTCTGTTTCCTAAGCTCTTGCCCAGCATCTTGAAAGAATTAGGTCACTCAAGGATGGATGTGGAGTTTTATTGAGTGGTGGAGATGGCTCTCAGTGGAATGGATAGGAAGTCAGAAGTGGGGGATGGAGTGGGAAAATGATCCCATCTTCCCCTGGAGTTTGGCCTTCCAGCAGCTGAATTCTTCTTCAACCACCTCCAGCTGGACTCCTGTCAGTGTTCAGACGTTCCTCCACTTCTCTCTTTCTCTGCCACATTGTTCCATTGTCCATCTGCTTGTCTCCTTGTTTCCTTGCCTACTCTTCTGCTTCTGGAGCCTGGGATTCAGGGTTTACATGAGTTCAGGATGGGGGCCCTTTGCCGGGGAACCGTCCTCTTCTACCCAGTGTTTCCCTGTCTCCTGTCCATATCAGCAGTATACTTCACAATCACCAAAACATGAAAGAAACCCAAGTGTCCATTGATGGATGAATGGATAAACAAAATGTGGTATACGTATATAGTGAAATATTATTCAGCCTTAAAAAGAAAGGATATTTGGACACATGCTACAACATGGATTAACCATGAACACATTATGCTGAGTTAAATAAGCCAGTCACAAAAGGACAAATCTTGTGTGATTCCACTTATATGAGGTACCTAGAGTACTGAAATTCATAGAGACCGAAGGTAGGGTGGCTGGCGGATGGAGGGAATTGAAGTTATTGTTTAATGGGTACAGAATTTCAGTTTTGGAAGACAGAAAAGTTCTGGAGATAGAAGGGGAGCAATGGTTGTACAACAATGTGAATGTTTCTAATGCCACTGGATTGTGCACTTAAAAATGGTTAAAATAGCAAACTTTGTTATGTATATTTTGCCACAATAAATAAATAAACAGCAAACCAACCCACCAAAAATAAATAAGTAAATGTAATAATTTGTAAATGTGTGTTCATCTGTTATAAATAAGATCTGAAATATTCATCAATGACAGAATATGCAATCTGAGATTTGCTTTAAAATAATCTGGTGAAAACAATTGCTATTTGTAGATTAAAAATAAAATTTTTAAAAATAAAAATAACTTAAAAAGTTTTTAAAATAATAATCTAGTGGGGGGAGGGGTTGGGGAGTGTAAGGATAATTGTGGAGCAGGGTTGGAGATGAAACAAGATGGTTCAAATGCAGATAATTGTTGAAGCTGGGTGATGGTACACTGGAGGGCATGACACGATTCTCCCTCCTTTGTGTATGCTTGAAGGTTCTCATTAAAGAAAAAGAGTTTTAAAATATCTCATCCCAGTAGACAATAAGACAGCAGTTGCCCTCATATTTATTAACCCTTCAGATAGACACAGGGCCATGGAAAGAAGCTGCCCGCTCTGCCCATTCCGTGAAGTTCCTGAACACACCCCTCCTTCCTGCATCCCACCGCCCACTGTAGCATTCTGAGCACACACCAGGTCCTTACTACTAGCAGCTGCCCATCTGTGGTGATCTCAAGGGCTGGGAGAAATGAAAAGTAGCTCTTTCTGGACTACTACGCACAGAAAACTGGGCTTTTTCCTGTAAGACAGAAAGAAAAATGCCAGAGAAGGCCCACATATTCAAGCATCTTACCGCTGAACTACATTTGCATCAAGTCATGGGACTTACCAACTCTCCAACAAAAGAAACATGTATTTTAAATTATAAAGTTAAGGTATCCTTTTTCTCCAGAGCATTGTGAATACTTTTGTCGGGGTTTTGACATAGACGACAATAACCTCCCCTTCATGTCAACCGCTACACATGCACACTCTTCTACCTGGGACAAGCAACCACAGTGGATTATTGGTTACCTAAGTAATCTCTCTATTGTTTCATTAATTCATATTCCAATGAATACTTGTTGAGTACTTACTATGCATCAGGCATAGTACTTGGTGCTGTGATATGAAGATGTACTCAAACCCCCAGAGTTGATATGAAGATTATTTTTAACTAAAGACATTTGAGATTTGACAGATGTAGAAAGAAGACTTTTTGGAGCTTCTCTTATCTGACTAAAGGCAGAAACATCTGGAAATTAGGCTACTGTAGATCTCCTCTTTTGGGGCAGCTTCACTTCATAAAGGAGACTGTGAAACCACCATCAACAACAGAATGTCTCACACCAGTCAGATGGCTATTACTAAAACGTCAAAAAATAACACATGCTGGCAAGGTTGTCAAGAAAAAGGGATGCTTATATACTGTTGGTGGAGTGAAAATTAGTTCAACTATTGTGGAAGACAGTGTGGCAATTTCTCAAAGACTTAAAAACAGAAATACCATTGGACACAGCAATCTCACTACTGGGTATATACTCAAAGGAATATAAATCATTCTATCATAAAGACATATGCATGTGTATGTTCATTGCAGCATTATTCACAATAGGAAAGACATGGAATCTATCTAAATGCCCATCAGTAACAGACTGGATAAAGAAAATGTGGTACATGGAATACTATGCAGCCATAAAAAAGAATGAGATCATGTCCTTTGCAGGGACATGGATGGAGCTGGAGGCCATCATACTTAGCAAACTACCACAGAAACAGAAAACCAAGTACTGCATGTTCTCACTTATAAGTAGGAGCTAAATGATAAGAACACATGGACACAAAAAGGGGAACAACAGACACTGGGGTCTATTTGAGGGAAGAAGGTGGGAGGAGAAAGAGGAACAGGAGAAATAACTAACGGGTACTAGGCTCAATACCTGGGTGACAAAAGAATCCATGCAACAAAGCCCCATGACACAAGTTTACCTATATAGCAAACCAGCACATGTACCCCTGAACTGAAAAGTTAAAAAAGAAGAAACTACTGTAAGTCCTCTCTCCAGAGGAGTTTATACCGACCAGAAAGAAGAAGGAGAAGACCACTTGCACCTGCATAAACAGACATTGTCACAAACTTTCCTATCTCCCATTTTGTTCTCCTAAAAGCCCATTAACCTTTCCTAACGAAATGTCTTCCCATAGAAGTCTTTCCTCCCCTCATGCCTTTCACCTTATTAAGTGGTTATAAACCCCATATCTTTGGCTGCTTGGAGAGTCATCTTTTTCTATGAACTCCAGTGCACATCCATGAATAAAAATCTGTTTTTCCTCTTGCTATTCTGTCTTTTGTCAGTTTAATTCACAGACTCCCGAACACTAAACATAAGAGGACAGAGGAAATGTTTGTCTTCCTCAACAGTGACCAAGACACAAAAGTCTTACTCTCATGGAAACTACTGGGGAAAATATTCAGAAAGAGTGAATAAACAAATAAATAAATATTTACAGATTGTTATTATTGCCATAAATCAAAGAACCAGATGGATCAGCAGGAGCTGGTATTCACCCATTTAGCCCCAGTTCAAGGATGCTGTTTGTTAATATTTGAGTCTGTCCTTATTGCATGGTGCCTATGTCTGAGGACAGTTAAATATGTACAGCATCACTTCTGGTGGTCTAGGAAGGCCTCTTCAAAGAGGTAACACTTAAGGCTGAGTCCAAAAGGATAAGAAACAACCAGCACTGGGACAAGTAGGAAAGAACATTCCAGGCAGAAAGAGGAGCACATACAAATTGCTCCTGCACATCTGAGCTTAAAATGCTCAAGTGTGCGTACAGCAGAGGCAGGCAATGTGGCAGGATTGGTAAGATCTTGTCACACAGGACACAGCAACACCTCTGTTCAGGATTTCAGAACTTGCAAGGGTTCCACTGGAAGCATTGTCTTCCACAATGGACATGGGAAAGAAACTAGTGCTTCCAGACAAGCAAAAGGAGATTTCGAGTGTCCACTGAAGAATCACAGGGTTCATTAATTCGGAGAAGTGAGCTCTATTTCTTATAAAGGGTTGTAGCCTGCAGGCTGGCCATCGTGAAGGCTGGGAATCATAGCCTCGAGCAGAGACCAGAAGTAGGCACTTCGAAGAGGGAAGGATGAGACAGCAACTTATGCAGAATCCATTGGCTAAGTATACATATTCAACAGGTTATAGGAGAAGCTATGAATATTCATGAATGAGGGTGTGCACATGATATGCATAGTAAGCTAACATTTGTGTTACATATGTCCCATGGTCACTTTGGGGTGGAGACTTAACATTTAGATGTATTACAATTAGGCCCTGTACATCAAAAGGTGAAGCAGAGGACACAAAGCTGCTCCATGCACAGCCTCCATAAACTAACCAGAACCATCCCATGGTGGGTGGTCTCTCATCAGGAAGGAATGCTGGTCCATTGTTATGTTTAAACCACAAAAGAGAGGGGAGTCTGATGAAATCAGTGGTGGAGACTTTCAAAAGGGCTGGTTTCTGTTTAATCCCTAGGAAAGAAAACCTAATCATGGTCAGCAAGGGATGGGGTACAATGAGGCATGTCCAAGCTCCCATCCGTCATGGTTGGGAACTTGGTTTCTCTGGGGTCAGGTAGGAAACTTAGGGTTTTATTTTTATATCCTACAAGTTACAAGAGACATGGGACATCTCAGGTCAGGAGATCCAGTAAGTATTAGACAAGCCTTTGAAGAGCAAGAACCTCGTGGTTACGGACATCACTTAGAAAATACGAAGCTATGTAACCCTTCAGAGACTTGGTGGAGGGGTAATCCTGATCATTGTTTTGGCCACTTCATCCCAGAGTCTTACCATTTTGTCACACATTAGATTTGAATACTGGGGAGGGTGTGGATGAAGCTGAATTGAGAAGCAAAAAGAGAAAAATCAAGTGTATTTATCAACTCATGTAATATGCTCCCCAAACAGATCCAATCCTCCTGTGTGTTTCAGCTTTCTTTTATAGAAAGAGTATACAAAGACAGAGTCACACATTAACTTCTGGACCCAAGAGAAGTAATATTAGAAAGGTGTTGTTAGCCCCCACCAAGCAAAGGATGTCCTGATATATGCTCTGAAGATAGACCCCAGCAGCTACCAGTTCCTAAAAGGTAGGGGAGGCTGCTTTAAAGCAATATTTGACCAGGCATAGTGGCTCATGCCTGTAATCCCAGCACTTTGAGAGGTCGAAGCGGGTGGATCACTTGAGGTCAGGAGTTTGAGACCACCCTGGCCAACGTGCCAAAACCCCATTTCTGCTAAAAATACAAAAATTAGTCGGGTATGGTGGTGCATGTCTGTAATCCCAGCTACTGGGGAGGCTAAGGCAGGAGAATCGCTTGCACCAGGGAGGCAAAGGTTGCAGTGAACTGAGATCACGCCACTGCATTCTAGCCTGGGTGACAGAGCGAGACTGTTGAGAAAAAAAAAAAAAAAGCAATATTTATATGCAGCAATGAAGGGAGGAGCATTCAAAATTGCCTGACTACAATATTCCTAGAATTCTGTCTGGCATCATTTATTGAGAACTTGGATTTATTTTCTCTAAAGCAGAGTGAATTTTATGTCATCCTCGAGGAAATGCAGTACTTAAAGTTAACCTTATTATAGGAGGAACTCCTGGAAAGATATAATAGAATCCAACAGTTGGTAGATTCAAACTGGAGGTCACTCTAATTAAGGAAGTGAAAAGTAAATGGAAAGCAAACAATCCTATTTCACACTAAACAATTCTACGTAAGGGAATCATTTTTACATAATGACTCAGGAGCAGATTACATTCTCAGATGCAGAGGCAGAGCCCCCATTGACTTCTACCACAGACACTGATGCATATCTAGAAACAGTTTGGGGCCTAGAGGCTGGTGAAATAAATTGTGTGAATCAATTTAAAATGCAGCCAGATGTTTTTGACTCTGAAAATAAAAAGACACAGGATGAGAGGGGAAAAAAATCCACAGATAGCCCACAAAGCAGACTGGCAGAAGTTTTAGAAAGTCAGCTGTAGTTAGTTAACTCTACTTCTTTTCATATCTTACCATCTTTTTATTCCATTTAAGGAAGACTGCATAACAATAAAACTCTTTCATTAAACAAACATATTGGAAGGTTCCCTAATTTTAAAGTATTCTGAGAGAAACAAAGGTGAATCAACCTGAATTTGAGCCTCAAGAAGCTCAAAGTTTGGTTAATAAAAGAAACGATCTGTGGACCTACAAGATTAAACAAGAAAGACATCAGAAGATAATCACAGAGGTGTGAAAAAAGTTGCATGTGGAGATTTTATGAAAGTAGTATTGTAGCAAAAAAAAAGTCCTAAATAGGGAATAGTTATGAATGATAATTTTTAAGCATTAATGATGGAATCATTTGCAACCATTAAAAAGGATTTGGAGAAAATATTTAAGAACTTGGAAAACTATTGATGAAATATTATTAAGTAAAAAAGCAGTTAACTAAATATTATCTACAGTGTGTTCCATTTTTGAAAGAAAAAATGTTTCTACATTGGTTTGCTTGTATAAACGAGAGAAGAAAAATATGTAACAAAATAGTAACAATGCTTATCTTCTGGTGATATAATTATAAATGTTTGTTTTATTTACTATTTTTATATATTTTTGCAAGTCTATATTTCCTCCAATAAACATGCATTATTGTTTATAACCAAAAAAAAATTAAAATGAGGTTTTAAAAGAGGATAGAAATATAACACAAAGAAATTTAGAAGAGAAAAAGAATGTCAGTTAAAATGGATATGGAAATCAAGGAGTGAAATTGCAAGCAGATAGGGAGGGTCTCCAGGGACTATAGAAATTTAATCAATTTGAGCAATTAGCCTATTTTACAGCCTTCTGCCTTGCAGCCTATTTTTTCCCAAACCGTATGTGGAATGTGGTCACCTAGTGGGTTGGAATGAGTTCTTGACAGACCTTGGCAACTTATCTATGAACCCAAGTGGGCTTTCCTCATTACCATGCTAAACTCCCCACCCCAGGAGGAGCTATAGCCTCATTATCATAACATGTGACTTCTGTGCTGACATAATGATTCACTGTATGCATGGGACCCCTCCTCTCCATGCAATGACACATCCTCTTCCCTTTCTATTGCCCCATAAAAGCTTTCTATCACGCTTCCTTGGGGAGACACTGCTTTGGAGAATCCTCCCAGTGCTCTCCTTACTTGTGACAAGTAAATTCCTATTGATCAAAACCTACTTTCTAGTTGAGCATTGTTCGTTACTTGCCAGGTGATAGAGCTCCAGTTTTTTTGGGTAACAGAATTGGAGGCAGTGGCAATAAAGGAGGAAGGAAACAGAAGCTAAAGAATCTAACATTGATTTCTGTCACCAAATTTTTGACCATTCATCTGTGTGGCCTTAGTATAGAAGTAAACACCTGGGGCCACCATGCTGCACCACATTTAGGAGGCATCATCCTTGTAAATGGTGCCCCCGGGAGTTGTATAACCTGTAGCTTGTAGGCAACGTTCTTTTCCTTATGGAACTTATGGTTCTTGCAAGAAAGGAAGAAGGACAAGGAGAAGGATTATTTTGGATTTTACCAGCATGCCCTAGGGACATCTAATAGAGGCAGGCATAAGACATGGGATTCTGGACTTTTTTAGTCTTTCCCATCCAATTTCCATGGCCAGCTACATGATTTGCAGGGTCCAGCACAAAATAAAATGTGGGGTCCCTTGTCATAAAAGCAAGGAAAATATGCAAGATATTTGAAGGGCTCCAGATTACACTACTGTGGCATAAAAATTATTTTGAGCTGAAGACATTTCAAAATCAGCAGACACAAGAAGAATCATTGTTTAAACTTACCTTTTCTGCCTAAAAACCGAGCCTCCCAAAAGCTGCCATAAATCCCACCCTTTAGGAGAGGCTTCCTGTACCAGAGGAAAAGGGTGACTCCTCTCATCAGAGATGAGAAGTGTATGTAGGGATGGAAAACTGCATAAACAGACTTTACTAAAACAAAACTCACTTTCCATTAATTTCCCTCATATATGTCTCAGTCATTTCCCACCATTGATTGTCACTTGAAATTCTACCCCGTTCCCTTGTAAGATGGTATTGAGGCCCCAGATTAAGCCACTTAAGTCATACTTTATCTACTTAGGTAAATACAAATCTCTTTTTTCTTGCTTATGAATCTTTTGCCATTTTAATTTGCAGGATCCCAAACAATGAACATAAGAGGGTAGAGGAAAAGGTTTTCCTTACTGATAGTATTAAAACAAAAAACTCTTTCCTTTGTTCTGTGGTTCCTCTCTCAACTTGTCATGATGTTTTTTATTTGGTTTTTTAATGTTATTCTAGGTAAAGAAAAATTAACAATTTAAATTAATAGTATGAATTGTACCATTTATCTTTATACCATGCAATGAATGCAGGTTTAAATGCAAATATAAAAGCACTTCACTCCTTGACAAAATCACTGAAATTGGGCAATTTATATTTTGTAGCTCGTACATGCATATGTATTTTGTTTTTACAAGAACAATGTGAATGCTACACAAAACTAATACAACTGTTTTTTTTTAATTTTTACTTTTTGATATGCACATATTCTACCAATACTTTCCACCACTGGCTAACAGATGAGTAAGGAAGGACTGCAAGGAAAAGGAGCTCCAGGTTGATGTATTCTTTCTCTTTCCTTTTTTCCATCATTTTCAGCATAAACAGTTGGCTGATACAGACAAGTAACAAGAGTAAGGAAGAATATGATAGGACTCCTCGGCTATTTGTGTTTTTTTAGCATTCTATTGCCTTCTTTGTGGGTTAGAAGCCAGTTCTGGTTTGAATGAAAAGTGTGGCTTCTCAGCCCCTGCTTACTCAGTTGTAGAGGTAAGATATCTTGTAATGGCTTTGAGTCTCTCTGGGCTCCCACACAAGGTGGGACAACTAGAATGCCATGCTTATGGGGCATCATCTCATCCTATATGCAAATAAGACAGCAGGGAACAGACAACTCAGATACTGTGCCTAGTTTCTCTGCTCATGTGCATGCTCCATTGTCCCCCTCAGACCTCATTTATAAAACATAAGTTCAAAAACAAAATTATTAAGAAGTTTAGGATGGTGACAGCAGACCTTAAACCCAGCATGGGGCCCTTCTGAACGTGGGAGTCTGTGCCAAACTGTGTAGTTCCCGTACCCATGAAGACCGTCCCGCTCACTCTCACCAGAAGAGTTCCACATGGGGTTCCAGTTAAAATTTCATTTGAAAAAGAATTTTATGTAATATTTAAAATAATAAATTTCCCAGGTATGGGGTGTTACACACCTGTAGTCCTAGCTACTTGGGAGGATGAGGTGAGAGGACCGCTTAGCCCAGGAGCTCGAGGTTAGAGTGAGCTATGATCACACCACTGCACTCCAGCCTGAGTGAGCCCCTGTTTCTAAATTTTTTTTTAATTAGTCTAGATTAAGAGACAAAGTCAAATACCAAAGGAGTTAGGAAGACAATGGAAAGGAGAAAAACAGACTTTCTCAGTCTCTCTTTTCTCCACTATTGAGAATGTGGGGGTGTTAGTGGGGACAGGTCATTATTTCCTCTTAACTCTGCCATAAGAAAAACAACAATGCTCATGCCATGATAAATAGCAACTGACCCTCAGCTTCAGTGTCAGGAGACACTGACGACTGTTGGGGACTGCAGGACAATAATGGGCTCCTGGCCCTCTGAAAGAACAGCCATAGCTCAGCCAGCTGTTGAAGCAATTCTCCTGTCTCAGCCTCCTGAGTAGCTGGGATTACAGGTGCACGCCACCACACCCAGCAATCTTTTGTATTTTTAGTACAGACAGGGTTTCCCCAAGTTGGTCAGGCTGGTCTCGAACTCCTGACCTCAGGTGATCCACCCACCTTGGCCTCCCAAAGTGCTGAGATTACAGGCGTGAGCCACCGAGCCTGGCTAAGGTTCGTTTTTCAAGAGATACTCAAAATCTGAAGTCTTACATAAAATCTCCCAACTTTTTAATGTTGTTATAGAACCAAACTGGGGACTGCTCACCCAGCACAGTAAAACAAGGTACCTACACCAGGATTTTGCAGTGGTAGAAAGGAGGTACTTATTTGCACCAAGTAAGGAGGACCAGGTAGCTAACATGTAAATCTTCAGCTCCCTGATGACTTGCAGGTAAGAGTTTTTAAAAGCAGGGGTAAATTTCAGGAAAGTGAAAGTTAACAGGTAAACTCGTAAATCAGTACATGGATGTTAGACATTGGTTTTGGCTCAAAAGGGCAGGATCTCTTGAAGTGGGGGCATATAGGTCATAGGTATAATAGATTCAAAGATTTTCTGATTTGCAATTGGTTAAGCAAGAGAAGCTTTGTTTAAAATTTGGGGTCAGCAGAAAAGAATGTCAGCTCAGACTCCCTTCAGGCCCCTCAGGAAGAAATTCAGAGCAAAGTATGGTGACCAGAGTTCAGTCCTCAGTTCCCCCTTATCTGAGATCTACATGCCAGCAAATCCATTTGGTGGGAGGTTGGGTTTCTGAAAAACAACTCAGGGACATATGTTAAAATACTGTATTTAGTCTCTGATACGGTTTGGATATTCGTCCCCTCCAAATCTTATGTTGAAATGTGATCCCCAATGTTGGAGGTAGGGCCTAGTAGGAGGTGTTTGGGTCATGGGGTCAGATCCCTCTTGAATGGCTTGGTGTCCTCCCAATGTTAATGAGTGTGTTCTTCCTCTGTTAGTTCACATGAGAGCTGGTTGTTTAAACGAACCTGGCATATCCTCCTCTCTCTCTTGCTCCCTGTCTCTCCATGTGACACATCTGCTCCTCCTTCTCCTTCACCTTCCACCATGAGTAAAAGCTTCCCACGGCTTCACAAGAAGCTGAGCAGATGCTGGTGCCATGATTGTAAAGCCTGCAGAACCGTGAGCCCAATAAACCTCTTTTCTTTATAAATTACCCATCCTCAGGTATTCCTTTATAGCAATGCAAAATGGACCAACATAGTTTCTAAAGGGAAACTTTATTTACATCAATTTTCTCAACTTGCAATTCTTGTAGAAACTATTTGTGAGATATTGTACATTTTTAAAATAATAAATCTCCATGTGTATTTTACACTTCCAATATGTCTTAATTTATATTTCAAATATAAAACTCTGACGGGTGCAGTGGCTCATGCCTGTAATCCCAACACTTTGGGAGGCCGAGGCAAGTGGATCACAAGATCAGGAGTTTGAGACCAGCCTGACCAACATGGTGAAACCCCATCTCTACTAAAAATACAAAAATTAGCCTAGTGTGATGGCGTGCGTCTATAATCCCAGTTACTCAGGAGGCTGAGGCAGGAGAACTGCTTGAACCCGGGAGGTGGAGATTGCAGTGAGCCGTGATTGCGCCACTGCACTCCAGCCTGGGCGACAGAGCAAGACTCCATCTCAAAAAAATAAATAAATAAATAAATAAATAAATAAATAAAACTCCATGTGTATTTTACACTTCCAGCATGTCTTAATTCAGACTAGCCATATCTGAAGTGTTGGAAAGCCACATGTGGCTAGCAGTTACCATGTTGGACAGGACAAGTCTATAATACACAAGAAATTTATTCAGATTAATAATAATAAACTTCGAATGTCAATTCCCATAAGTAAATGGGCAAAGGATATGAACAGGCAATTTACAATAGCAGAAATACTACTAAGATATGAAGAAGTGCTCAAAACCATTACTAATGAGGAAAACCTCAAATTAAATGCATTTATGCCTGGAAAAAAAATCACAAAGTTGGATAATGATAAGAGTTGGTGAGGATGTGAGTATAAAGAAGCCTCATTTGCCAGTGGGAGGACAGACAGGTGCAGACATTATAAAGAGTGCTTTCATCATGTTAAATGAATGACAGCAATTAATTCTGCTCCTAGGTATTTATCCTAAAGAAATTCTTTTATTTTTTATTTTTTTGAGACAGAGTCTCACTTTGTTGCCCGGGCTGGAGTGTAGTGGCACAACCTGTGCTCACTGAAATCTCTGCCTCCCAGGGTCAAGTGATTCTCCTGCCTCAGCCTCCCAAGTAGCTGGGATTACAGGTGCATGCCACCAAACCAGGCTAATTTTTGTATTTTTAGTAGAGACACGGTTTCATCATGTTGGCCAGGCTACTCTCGAACTCCTGACCTCAAGTGATCTGCCTGTCTTGGCCTCCCAAAGTGCTGGGATTATAGTAGTGAGCCACTGTGCCCAGCCTATCCTAAAGAAATTCTTACACAGCTTAGACATTTACTTTTCTGTTGATTGTCCTACCCCGGACTACAAACTCTATGAAAGCAGGGATTTTGTCTTGGCCTTCTCTGTATCTCCAATGTTGGGATCAGGGCTGGCACATAGTAATTGCTCAATAAATATTTATAGACTGAATGGAGTATGCCATCGTCATCATAGAAACCCAGTGAGGCAAGCATTTTCTAGATGAGGAAAATGGACCTTAGAACAGCCATACCTCCAGCATCACATGTCCAGTTGCCAGCAGAGATGGAGTTAGCACAAAGGCCAACAGCCCAGACTGACTCCCAGCCATCACCTGTTCATTATTTTAACATTACTTATTGAGCATCTCATAAAGAAAGACAGCCTATAAGTAACTGGAAAGAGCAACTACATCACCACATTTTCAGGGTTTAAATTAGAGCATATCTAAACACAGAAAAGCTTTGCTTGATAAGGCTTCCCTCTAAATTCCTACATATTCCTACATATGTTCTCGGGTCATGCTTTTCCTGAGAGATATTCTTTTTTTTTTTTTATTAAAAAAAAAAAAAAAGAAAGAAAGGAATGGAAAGCAAGAAGACTATTTAATAGATTGAAAGCTTTTGTTCTCCTACACACATTAAGCCGTTCGGTAACAAAACAGGCAGTCTCAGAAAAATAAATCACAGCTTTATTTTACAGCTTTAATCTTAAAAGGGTTAACATCTCCCCACCAGCTTGCAGGCTTTTTTGGTTTTTGCCTTTCCTTTTCTCTCCATAGCTTTGATGAGTTATCTTCAGAAGATCATGTGAGTACTTGCTTCATTTTCTCAGTTCTTTTTGGCCATCCATTCCTTGGCAGGTTTCACCCTATTTGGGTATAAGCACCCACTCTACATCTCCTCTCCACCCGCTATTTCGTGCATCAAGTGTTAACGAACTTTGTAGCAAAACAAATCCATCTGGAAATTGGCATTTCAACGATGTGTTTTTAAAACTGCTGTTCATCATTCCTAGCGTGTGTGCGCATGTGTGAAAAATTCAGAATACATTTAAGCAGGAAGCACTGGAAAGGCTGGGTGCACATTTTGAAGCCAGAATGCATTTCACAAGGTGGGAGGCACACATAGACTTGAGAGTGCTGAGGGTTGACTATCGCTTGTATCAGGCATGCTAAATATTTGACCATTTTGAATGAACTTTATTAGTCTGAACATGTTCCACATTCTCTATTTACTGAAAGATTATTTCCCAATTGCAAAAAGGATTACAGTTATACAAAGTCAAAAATACATATCCTTTTTTCTTCGTTAGTTAATTTATTTATACCCAGCCCTGCCTGTTGCAAAAAGGATTTGAGGTAGCTCATACACGATTTGATGGACTAGATTATTTGAGGGAGAACTCCTTTCCTATGCTGATTTTTACTTCCAAATAGAGAATGCCAGTAAAATTAATAAGTAATGAATCAGAATCACTGAAGTTCTTGAAGTGTCTTCATGTGCCAGACTGTGTGCCAAGTATTTCACATTTAACCCTCACAACCACCCTTTGAGTAAACACTATTTTTGTCCCCATTTCACAGATAAGGAAAATTAAGTTTAGAGAAGTAGAGTGCAAAACAGTATATAACTAGTAAGGGATGAAGCTGGGATTGGAATCCAAACCTGTTTCAGAGACTCCCCTCCCTATCAACCCTTATCATCTACTTTTCTGATGGGAGGTGTCCTGGCTGAAGAAAAAGTTCCTAGAGTCACCTGAATCCAGGGAAGCCTTTAGTGATGAGTTGGAGCAGATGGATAACCAAGACTGGAAATGCAGAGATAAAATGTGTGATTGTCTCGAATTGCTCCTATCCAGTGGGAGGAACAAAACATAATCAATTCCCACATACTGCTGTGCCCCAGGCAGTGACCACGCCCATTTTTCTTAGCGGTCTATCCACTATCCATTGCACATGGTTGGCACCCAGTAGGTGCTCATTGCATATCTGTTAATTGAATGACTATATTATTGGGTCCACCAACTCAGAAAAGAAACCTTCCATGGAAGCGAGAATGTCTGAAGAGATAATTATCCTCAGAAATTAGAGCATGGAGCAGGAAATTAAGCAAAGTTACCTGTGGGAGACAACCTCTAAGATGCCCCCAACGATCCTCCCTCCTGATGATCATGCCCTATATAATGCCTTCTCCTTCACTGTAAGCCAGGTTTATTGATTTGCTTCTAACAACCAGAATATGAAGCTGGGATGCGGTGACTCACACATGGAATCAGCACTTTGGGAAGCCAAGGCTGGAGGATCACTTGAGCCCAGGAGTTTGAGGCTGCAGTGAGCCATGATGGCATCACTGCACTCCACCTGGATGACAGAGTGAGACCCTGTCTCAACAAAACAAAACAAAACCAAAAACAACAACAACAAAAAAACAAATAGAATATGATAGAAGTAATAGGATGTCACTTTTAAGACTATATAATAAAAAAACTGTAGCTTCTGAATTAGTGTCTTTCTGGTGTCTCTCTCTTTCTCTTTCTCTCTCTCTCTCTCTGTCTTTCATAACACCACTGTTATATCACATGAACACACAGGCGGCCTATGGAGAAGTCTACATGGTGAAAAAAACTAAGGCCTGCCAGCAACCATGCAAGGACGCTTAGAAGTGGAACTTCAGAGGCCTGTCAACAGCCACATAAATGGGCTTGGAAATGGATTCTCCAGACCTCCAAAGGAGCCTTAAAATGACTACAGCCCCAAGTGTAGACAGGCTGACTGCAACTGCATGAGAGGCCTAAGCCAGATGCATCCAGCCAATCTGTGCCCATATTACTGACCCACAGAAACTGAAACCACGAATAATAAATGTTTGTTGTTTTAAGCTGCTAGGTTTGGGGTGTAAACATAATAAATACCTAATTTGTTATGCACCAATAAACAACTAATACATTCCCCCATAACTTCCAAGAAAATGAACCAAGGCATATCCATGAGGACTTGTAGCTATGAAAATGGTATAAGAACACTTAATAAAGTGTCCCGTGTGTTATTTCTGACTGATTCTCCATGGTGATTAGCTATTAACATCCTTACAACAGACAGGAACCATGTGCAGGGACAGCAGAGGAGTGGGGAGGGCTGGGCCACTTGGTCTCATTCCACAGTCAGTTCTAGGAAGACAGGACCCTCAAGAAGTTGAACATGTCCTGAATTAACAGTTAGCCCTATGGAAAATTCATTTTTGGCTCCCCAACATCCATAACACTGAAGTTGGGTGATGTATCAATTAGGATTAGATTCTGCTACATGAAACAGGAAACCCCCACGTAACAATGACTTGAGGGAAAAAGAACATATTTCCCTCTCATGTAGGAGGAAGTTATTTGAGTGCTGGTCTGACCTCTCTATTATGTCATCTGGAACCAGATATTTTGCATCCATCCTAGAGGACATGCCTAGAGAGCACCCCCTACCTCCCAGTCCACCATGACCTCTGCACTTGTATCTTCATTCCAGCAGCAGTTGGAAGAAAAGGCAAAAAAAACAGCACACTCAGCCTTTTAAATAGACTTCCTGGAGTCCCATGCAACCCTTTTGCTTACACCTCACTGACCAGAACTTACTCACATAGGCATACCCAACTGCAAAGGAGGCTGTGAAATGTGCCCAGATAAAAATCAAGGTTCTATATTGAAAGGAAGGGGAGAACTGATACCAGAGAGACAACTGGTAACCTCTGCTCCAGGTAACAAGACTGGTGGAGCACCAGAGGGTTTGTCATTCAAATATCTCCATGATCTGACCCACCTCACACTGTCAGAATTATTTCCATCAAAGAGTACTAGACACTATACTTTTTTTTGGAGACAGGGTCTCATTCTGTCGTCCAGGCTGAAGTGCAGTGGCACTATCGCAGCTCACTGCAACCTCCGCCTCCCGGGTTCAAGGGATTCTCCTGCCTCAGTCTCCCATAGACATCTTCCTTTATGCCTTCCCATTCTCAAACTTTGGCCAATGCTGGTGCTACCACTGAAGTCCCAGCCCCTGCCGTCCTCACCTAGCTCCTATGCCACTTCCTCTGGGATTATTTTTTCAATCCTCTCCTTCCTCTGAAAACCCAAAGTACTGATTTGCACTTTTGTCTAATGGAAAAAAAAATTATGCACTTCCAACTGCCAGACACTGCACTAGGAATGAAAATATAAGTAAGGTAAGGACCCGGTCCTCAAAAAATGTATAATGGTCCATTGATAAATCATTGTTGAATAATGATGGCTCATCTGCTTTGCAGTATCACCTCAAGCTTTTAGTATACACGGTTTTTATAATCACATGCATAACAAAAGATGGAATGTGGCCCACATACACCTAAGTCAATAGGATTTCCTCAATAAGTCTCATTGCGTGGCATTATGGTCTACACATGATCCTTCTGTCCTTCATTCGCACATTTATTTAATATCTACTATGTGCCTGACATTGCACATAGCACAAAAGAAAGGCCCGATCCTTTCCTCAGGGACTTGGGAGAGAGACAGACAAGTAAATCGGGTATTGCAATGCAGAACAATAAAGCACTAGGTTGGAGATGTATATAGAGTGATAAAAATACTAAACCTAGACTGGAAGTGTTAGGAAAGCTTCCATGAGAAGCTGGCACTTAATAGTATTCCAGGACAGAGAGAGCATCATCTATAAAAGCCAATAGGTGAAAAAGAGAACATTGTGCTTTCACTGCACAGGAAGTATTAATAAATCAGTATGGCCAGAATTGAGTACATGAAGTTGGGAAGGGAGAGGATGAGGTTGGAGGTAGACAGGGTATCAAATCAGGAAGGAACAGCATTATTAAATGAGAGTAAAAGATATCCCTAAAGAGTGCCTTACAAAATGAAAGTTTCTTTTTTTCTAATAAAACAGTAACTCCTAGGGTAGGCAGTTAAGACTGGAACAAAGGCATCATGGGGCCATGACACAGTTGGGGTCTGCTATTGATCTGCTAGGCCACCTTTAGTATGTACTTAACCCTTGTGGCCATGAGACAGCTACTACACCTTCAGCATCTCATCTGCATACCAGGTGGGAAGTAAAGGAAGGCAAAGGACAAAAGTTATGTACCGTCAAATCCGCCTAGCTTTTCTAGAAGTCCCATCTTACTACTGATTTTTATTTATTTACTTATTTATTATTAATATTATTTTTAGTCTTGCTCTGCCACCCATGCTGGAGTGTAGTGGTGCAATCTTGGCTCACTGCAACTTCTGCCTCCCGGCTTCAAGCAATTCTTCTCCCTCAGCCTTCCAAGTAGCTAGGATTACAGGCATGCACCACCACACCCAGTTAATTTTGTATTTTCAGTAGAGATGGGGTTTCACCATGTTGACTGGTCTGGTCTCAAACCACTGGGCTCAAGAGATTTGACTGCCTTGGCCTCCCAAAGTGCTGGGATTACAGGCGTGAGCCACCACACCCAGCCACTACTGATTTCTTAGAGGCCGGGACTATGCCACACATCCCTGACAAGGCAACAACTGCTAGAGAGGCTGGTATATAGAGTTTTAGCTGGGCCCACTGCTGTCCTAACCATCAGGGCTCTGTTCATAAGGAGGAAGCGGACAGGGGATGCTGAAAAGACAGCCATCCATGTGCACTCCTGCAGGTCATGGAGAGTCAGCATGGCCCAGTCATAGTTTAAAGACCATTCCTCTGCCACTGGGAAAGGAGGAACCTGAAACAGTTTAAATAGGGGAGCAAGGAACTGACCAGATTTGCGATTTAGAAAGTCTTGAAAATGAAGTAAACAGCGGACTGGGGATGGAAGGAAGACAAATCTGGAGACAGAAAGATCACTGCCAGGAGGCTGTTGTGGGAAGGGCTAGAACTTAGAGCATGAAAATAGGATGAAAAGGTTTATAGTGGGCAAAATAGTGTTCCCACCCCAAATTCATGTCTACCCAGAACCTCAAAAAGTAACCTTATTTGGAAATAGGGGCTTTGCCAATGGAATTTAGGTAAGGATCCAGATGAGATAATCATGAATTAGGGTAGGCTCTAAATCCAATGAGAGTATTATATAAGAAACATAAAAGGATACATACACAGAGACACAGAGAAGAGGCAATGTGAAGATGGAAGCAGAGATTGGAGCAATGCATCTACAAGCCAAGGAACGTCAAGGATGGCCAGCAACCACCAGAAGCTAGGACAGGCACAGAACACTGCTTCTTCAGAGCTGCCAGAAGGAACCAACCTTGCTGACATCTTGATTTTGGACTTCTCGACTCATGAACCATGAGAAAATTAATTTCTATTGTTTGAAGCCACTCAGATTGTGGTAATTTGTTATAGCAGCTCCAGAAAACTAACACGAGCTTTACGAAAACATTAAGGAGACAGAATCAACAGGCCTGAGTGGGCACGAAGGAAGATTCTTGGCCAACTGGGTAAAGGGTGGTGCTTTCGCGGAGATGAGGAATACAAGAAGGAAAGGATGGGGAGAGGAAAAAAATAGGTTCAGTTGCAGACAAGTTGCTTTGAAGGTGCCTGAGGGATATGCAGTGGTTAGGTCTGGGATGGAGATCAGATTTAGAGCACTTGAAACCATTACAGTGGATGTTGCCCACAAGTTATCTAATATTTTTGTGGGTTTATGAGAATTTTTCTTTTCTAGAGACAGAGTCTCGCTCAGTCACACAGGCTGGAGTGTAGTGGTGTGATCATACCTCACTGAAGCCTCAAACTCCTGGGATCAAGGGATTCTACCGCCTCAGCCTCCTGAGTAGTTGGGACTGCAGGTGCATGCCACCACACCTGGCTAATTTTTAAAAAAATTTTTGTAGAGACAGTGTTGTAATGTTAATTATAATTACAATGTTATGTTGTAATGTTAATCTATGAAACATTTTAAAATTAAAAAAAAAAACATTTTTTTTAAATGTTCTGTAGGGACTATGTTGCCCACGCTGGTTTCAAACTCCTGGCCTCTAGTGATTCTCCCACCTTAGCCTCCCAAATATTAAGATTACAGGCATGAGCCACTGTGCCTAGCCAGATGAGACTTTCAAATAGGAGATGATTAAGGAACACTATAAGACACTAAACTGTCAAATTGTGAAGCATAACTATTTCAGGAAGCTTGAATTAGAGGAAATTAATATAAGGTGAAAAAAATGACCCACATCTCTATACTAATTAGGAGGGTTGCTCCATTTTTATTTTTAATTGGCACAAACCTGCATTAGCCTCTGCCCAAAGAGGCTGTACCAACTCAGAGACTGGTTTGCACCACATGTGTAGAGGCTCACAGAATGCCAGAAAGGACATTAGCCTGTCCAACCTCCTCCCCTTACAGACAGAAAAGCAGAGGCTTGCAGGGAGACTAATTTGCCCAAAGTCAGTAAGAGGACCATGTGAGACCCCAGCACAGGCTTGGCTTCCAACCTGAAACTCACATAATAAAGTGCATCACGAAATCCTCATGTGAAGGAAAATGAAGTGTGGTTTGATCTATAAAAGTCAAATGATGAGGAAAATGAACAGATGAAAATGTTGTCAGTCTCTAGAGCCAGAAAGACTTGGTTTCAAACCCAAATGCCATCCAAGCATATCAGTAAGGATGCTTTTGCTGAAAAAAATGTCAACAGTAAGAAAGCTATTGGTTGGCATAATTGAAAAAGGCCAGTGGTAGGGAGGGCTTTGATTGTGGTTGGAACAAAGCTCTAACTCTGTTTCTGCTGTTTTCTGGGCTCTGCTCTTCTCTTCGTAGCTTCACCCATAGACTGGTTTCCCCTAGCAGCCTTAAGTGGGGTCATCTTATCATCCAGAACATACAGCATTAGTAGAGTGGTGTAGCAAGGGTGGGGAGGTGGGAGCTGTCCACCCTGAGTGCAGACATTAAGGAGACACATTATTTGCAGAGAATTTTAAAACAAGAATGAAACAAAATGGGGTCAATGATTATCATCATCATGCAGTGGTGGTTCAAACAAGGTCAATGATAAAATGCTTCTCCCAGCCAGGCCAACTGCAACCACACCCAGTGCTTTGTATTATGCTCCAGAATTCTCAGCAAAAGTCCCAAGAGCCACACTGGTTGGACTAAATAAAATCATGTGCCTTCCCTTAAGCCAATCATGGCATGCAGGAGTGTGAAATATGCTGATTGCTTAGCTTAAGCCACATTGTGAAAGGTGGAATCAACTTTTCCAGACCCCTAGAGGTTCCCAGCTGAAACCTAGGGTAGATAAGATGGGGAAAGATGAACGGCTGCTGGTGAAGCAACCACCAGATGTTCACAACACCATGTAACCTTGGGTAAATTTTGGACCCAAGTTTCAGTTTTGTGCCAGACACTCTCCTCAGCATTCTACATGTATGTGAATTCATTTAATCCCCACACCAACCATAGATGGTAGCTACTCAGCCAGGAGCCCAGCAGAAAACAAACAGCACACTCAAAATACTTTAAGGAGGGCTTGTTAGCAAAGAGGCTAGTTACAAAGGTGTAGATTGGGCGCAGGTAACAACAGGGGAGAGTGCAGAGCCTGAGCTATCATTATCCTTACGCCTGCAGGGACATGGAGTGAAATGTCCTGACAGAAGGACATCTATCAGGTTCTAGGAACTTGATAGAAGCTGTGATGTTTGGCCAGGAGCAAAGTCAAACCAAGGCAACCTGGCAGTGAGGGAAGCCAGGGAAAACTGGGAAATAAATGCCCCATCCTCACTCTCCTCCCTCCCTCCCAGCTGCAGCAGGAGCTTCCTGTTGGCCAAGATCAACAGGAAGAGGACACGGTAGCCTGCTGCTGATGCCCATACAGCTATCCTTTTGGAGAAGAAATCAGAGTATAAAGTCTGGAGAGTAGATTTGAAGGGTCAGAGAGAAGATATTCAACACACCCCATTTTACAGATGAAGAAACTGAGATTTGGAGAAGTTAAGTCACTTGTCTGGTCTAGAGCACACGCTCTTAATCACTATACTATGCAACCTCTCAGAGCAAGTAATACACCAGGCAGAGTTCCTTACATACGGTGCGTGCTTCACAGATGTTCTTGTTCTACATCATTGTAGCTTCCACTGGCAAAGAGAACCCACTGATAAAATCAGCGTCCAGGCCTTCACCCAGCAGGGCATTCCCCCCAGCAAATGAAATAAGGTGCCCCTCCTTCCCCAGGTAGTCAAACCATATCTCCCAGTCCATCCCTATGGTTCCATAGCACCCAGGAGACCACACTATATATGTCAAAGACATGCTGCTCTTCCTCTCTGCATTTCTAAGCTAACTTGAATCGCTGGCTGCACCACGAAAATAAATCAGAATGTAAGTCTGTGAACACTTTCCATTCAAGGTGCAATTGATTTGTTACACAATGCACACGGTAACCAAAGTCACAGACTAAGTAAACAGGGTGACTGACAATATGCACGTATTCTAGCAAGCAATGCCTGCATATCCCCTCTCTCCAAGAAAATCAAAGTGTTCGACTGGCTTCTTAATCCAATTCGTGCTCTCCTTGCTCTTGTCAGAAAGGTGGGTGGCAGATATTATTTATCATCCCACTGTCACTAGTGGGCTCAGAAGGGTGACATGATTTACCTATTGTCAAACGAGTTTTCATAACAGCCTAACTCCGTTTGACACATTTCTTTGAGCAAGCCAAATATGCTGTTGGTCCATACCCTGAATGTGTCAAAATAATTTGCAAGCGACACCCACATTCCCATCCCATTTGATAGAGTTGGGTTAGTCACTTGGGAGAGTTGCTAGGGAGGTTATTCAGAGAGGAAGAATGCTGGAAAATTAGTGCTACAGGGGCTTTGCCTCACAGGGGTGAGGCTGATAATTAATTATAATACTGCTGCCTATGGGCACGGATTGAGGCAGGGCACTGCTACTAAGCCCTGTGCTTGTGTGATAGCCTTTAATGCCCACAAGCACCGAATGAGGGGTACTAGCATTTTACCATTTTACAGAAGAGGGATTTGAGTCTAGAGAAATTAAGTAACTCGCCTGGAGGCAGGGCCATGAGACCTTGGAAAGGCCCGGCGCTTGGTTTAATGTTCTGCTGTCATCGTCTTGAATTTTTTAATAACTTTTCCACAAAGGGACCTGCATTTTCCTTTTGCACTGGGCCCTGCAAATAATGTCGCCAGTCAGCCTGGGGGCATCTAGTCCCCAAGTACTTACATAGAGTATGTCCTGGGTACTGTCTTAAGCAAAGGGGATCAACAATACAAGATGTTCAAGTTCCCACTCTCATGGAGCTGCTATTCCAATAGGGGAGAAAGATAACAATTAAGGGAACAGCAAGTTAATGACAGATTAGAATGAATGCTATGAAAAAAGTAAACAGGGGTGATGAGATAAAGTAAATTGGGGTAGAGGTGCCACTTTACAGAGGATGGTCACATCCAAACAGGTGACACTTAAATGAGGTCTGAGGTTGAGAAGGAGCTGGCCTGGCAGGACCCTGGAGGGGCTCAGCCTGAGGGAGGATGAACAAGGGCTAAGGACTCCCACAGGGCATGAGCCTGATATGTTGAAAGGCCAGAAAGAAACCTCAGCAATTTCACCTAACTGATGGGCGCCGAAGCAGACAGGGAAAGGAGAGATGCAAGGTGAAGGTGAGAATTAGAAACCAGATCGCACGGAGCCTTAGAAACCAGATCACACGAGGCCTCGTAGAGCACAGTTAGGAGCTTGGATTTGATGCTTCTGCCATGGGAGGCCAAGGAAGCATATTAAGCAAGGGAGTGACAGGCACTGATGCATATTTTAAGAAGATCACTCAGGCTACTACTGTGTAGAGAACAGATCAGAGGATGTCAAGAGACACATGAGCAAATCACAACTATAACCTGCCACCACATGTCAGGACAGGCTGGAGAGCATGCGAGGATTCTATGAAGGCATCCAGAGGCCTTGTACATAACTGGTTCACATTTTGTGTATCTGTGCATGTGCATATATATTTATACACAATATATGTACATAGATACATATGTCCATTCATAAGGCACCCAGAGAATCCATACATAACTGATTCACATTTTATATGTGTGGATATAAATATACACATACACATATTTTAAATAAAATGTTAACAGAACAATACGCACACACAAGTATATTCTATTTCAAATTTACATTGAATATATTAATTAAGGGATTCAGATTAACTCATTTTTGTGTATACCTAAGATTTACAGTTCCCTTGCCATCTCTGCTTAAAGAGTCTCCAGAAATGGCAGGATGAGATGACTAACAACACCATCACCAATACCATTTCCAGGCTTTTCCTAATACCATTAAACCAGAATAAAATACGGTCATGCATCTCTCCACAAAGGGGACACTGAGCAACGTGTCATTAGACAATTTGTTAAGGGGACGCTCCACAAAGGGGATGCTCCGCGAAATGTGTCATTAGGCCATTTTGTCGTTGTACAAACATTACAGAGTGTACTTACGTGAACCTAGATGGTATATAGCCCACACTACACACCTGGTTGTATGCTATAGCTTGTTGCTCCTAGGCCACAAAACAGTACAGCAAGTTACTATCCTGGACACTGTAGGCAATCATGACACAATGGTACATATTTGCATATCTAAACACAGAAAAGTTACCGTAAAAATATAGAAGATAAAAATGGTAGATCTGTACAGGGCACTTGCCATGATTGGAGCTTGCAGGACAGGAAGTTGCTTCCACTATGTGCCAGCCACTGTTCTAGGCACTAGGGGTGTGGTGGCAAACGGAGCTAACGAGGCTCCTGCTGTCGTGGTGCTGCTCATTATATGATGGATTTGAAAACATTTTGTGTATGTGTTTGTGCAGAGAAGGAATGTGCTGCTGCTAAAAAAATTTTGACCATTCAAATGTAGATAACCCCTTACACCACAGTCTTATGTTAAAAAAAATTTAGTGGTAGCAGATCCATGGGTATCTTAAAACTGCTTTGGAAGGGAAACTGATATGATTCTAGGGGCTTCTGTCACAGGCAAGATACAAAGAGTGTGGCTTTGACCCAGCAGGGTAATTCTTATGTATAAAACATACCTGCCTATTAGAATTGTACCACTTGCTCTTGTTCTTGACAAGTATGCCAATAAAAGCATAGTTAATAGAAACAAAGATTGCTAAAATTGATAAATGTTTATAATAACCAAATCTGAGCTTGCAACTAAAAAGGAAACCTGGCTAACACCACAGAAATTAAACTGTTCTTGAATCAAAACTCTACCTGCAATATTTGTTTTCCCCCTACACTCTCAGTAGTCTCTAGTAAGAGTTTATGATTGTCAACGTTACCATGGCAACTTGTTGAGAGGGGCTGCAAAATGATGCACCTCAGGCTTCCCTATAGCTGATGTTCACCAGTAATGTTCACCTTTGACTAAATGAGAGAAGTACAAAGTCTTGATGTAACCAACATCCTATAACAAAGGGCTTGCTTTTGTTTTCTTTGGGGGAATTTTTGCAAGTTATCAGATAATTAAGAAATTGCATCCTAATATGAGTTGAATCCTAGCAAAATTTCACATTTGTAATCAAAACATGGTGAAAACCCATCAATAGGAACATTTGCTGATCATATTATCATAATTGTTGATTGAATGATAGATGACATTAACAGTCAAAATGCAGATTTTCTTCTTATTTTAAAAATTCACTCTTCTTTCTAACTTGTGGCCTTACTGTATGAATTTTGAAGCCACTAATTTGGAATTTGTGATTCAAATTCAATCAGAATGTATTGAGTGCCTACCAGGTGCCTTCACATTCATCTTTCATTTAATTCTCTTAGCTACACAACCATTCTAGGAAGTGGATATTATCACATCTGTTTTGCAGATGACTAAACAGAAGCTCAGAGAGGTTATGTAATTTGCCCAAGATCACCCAGCAAGAAAAGGGCAAAGCCAATAGTCAAACACTAGACTGCTCATGATATTTCTAACCCCAAGCTAATGTCTACCATTGCTTAGCAATATTTCTTTTACAGACTGATTACGTATAGTATGGTGAGGGGAGATGGAGGTAGAGCAGGTATTAAAACAAATGAAGAAATCATTTTCAAATATCTCACTCTTTAAAATATAACATCTCTATTCAAATTTCTACAAATGTGAGCATTACAAATAGCTCTCGAATTTATTAAAGTAGTCCAGAGATTTTTCTAGAAAATATTTGGCTTACAGTTGAAGATATTTTTGATAAACTTGAAAGAAACTGTGCTGAATATTCTCCATTTGTCTCTCCAAATCTATCCTCTACCACTCTCCATCCTATTCTATGCTCTGGGAGGCCTTTCTGGATCAGCAAGTCTTCCCTGCCCTCTGGCTTCCTAATGCGTTCAGTCACTGGGCAGCACTGTAGGATATCAGAGGGCACAAAGAGAGAAAGGCTACTGTGTTTATACAATCCCTGGCTCCCTCCTTCTAAGTTGGCAGTGACTGCATTTCTCTAATACATACCAAGCTCCTGCCAGACTCTCTTATCCTAGAGCTACAGTTCACATCAGTTTTCAGCAAAAACTCCCTCTTCTTGTGCCTTCAGGCCTAAAAAGTGCTAGCACTTTCTATTGCTGCTAAACCTGAATGCTTTGCCATCCTTTGCTGCCTTCTGTTAACACTGCCTTAAACCTTATCAACGGTAACTTCATTGAGTTCTGTTCTGTCTAGGCTCTCAAAGTGGGAGTTTAGATTTTTTTTTTTTTTTTTTTTTTTGAGACAGGGTCTTGCTCTGTCACCCAGGCTGGAGTACAGTGGTGAGATCATAGTTCACTGCAGCCTCCACCTCCTGGGCTCAAGTGATCCTTCCACTTCATCCTCCTAAGTAGCTGGGACGACAGGCATCATACACCTGGCAAAATTTTTTTTTTAGACGGAGTCTTGCTCTGTTGCCAGGCTGGAGTGCAGTGGAGCAATCTCGGCTCACTGCAACCTCTGCCTACCAGGTTCAAGCGATTCCCCTGCCTCAGCCTCCCGAAAAGCTGGGACTATAGGTGCATGCCACCATGCCCAGCTAATTTTCGTATTTTTAGTACAGATGAGGTTTCACCACGTTGGCCAGGATGGTCTCAATCTCTTGACCTCATGATCTGCCCACCTCAGCCTTCCAAAGTGCTGGGAATACAGGCATGAGCCACCACACCTGGCCAGCAAATTTTTTAAAGTTTTGTAGAGACAAGGTCTCACTATGTTGCCCAGGCTGGTCTTGAACTCCTGGCCTCCAGCAGTCCTCCTGCCTCAGCCTCCCAAAGTGCTAGAATTGCAGGTGTGAGTGACCTCAACTGGCCAGAGCTTAAATTATTGATGATTATTGATCGGAGACTTCACCTCTTTTCTAACGTAAGCAGTAGCACTATAAATTTTCCTCTTAGCACTGCTTTTGCTGTGACCTATAAATTTTGATATGTTGTATTTTCATTAAGTTCAGTGTATTTTTTTATTTCCCTTGAGACATCCTCTTCGACCCAAAGATGATTTAGAAATATGTTGTTTATTTCCCAAAGTGTTCGGAGATTTTTCTGTTATCTTTCTCATATTGGTCTGATTCTACCGTGGTCAAAGATCACCTTCCACATGGTTTCAGTTCTTTAAAATTTGTTGAGGTTTGCTTTGTGGTTCATGATGTGGTTTGTCTTAGTATGTGTACTGTGGGCACTTGAAAGGAATGTGTATTCTGCTGTTGCTGGGTACAGTGTTCTATAAATGTCTGTTAGATTCTGTTAGTGGGTGGTGTTAAGAGTTCTTCTATATCTTTCTGATTTTCTGTCGAGTTATTCTATCATTTGAGAGAGCGGTGTTGGCATTTTCAACGTAATTGTGGATTTGTCTATTTTATCTTTTAGCTCTATCATTTTTGCTTTACATATTTTGCAGCCCTGTCATTTGGCATCTCCATTACAGCCTGGCAAAGACAGGACCCAAGGCTTCCCACTCAAGCTTTGCTGGTGGGAGTAGGGGTAGAAATGGGACAATAATTTTTCTATGGGATTTGGCTACTGTCACAGTTATTTTCTAAAGTTTTCTGTCTTGCAAGGCTGCCCATTTCCAGGTCCTTTGATTCAAGAGAGCAGGCTCTTTTTGGGGCTTGTTTATCTTCACCCATTGTCAGCTTTGGGTTGCCAGTTTCTCCAGTATCCAGTCTCACATATATGAAGCAAAAAGGAAACCTGGGAGACCCACCACCATCATTTGCATCCTGATGTCCGTAGCCAGTCTGCCTTCTTTTCTCTACCTTTCAGTCTTCTTATGTGTTTTAAATATAATGTACAGGACTTTTAGTTCTACTTAGCAGAAAAAATATGGTAAAGTGTGTCTATTCCATCTTCCTAGAAGCAGACGTCTTTATGTCAGGCAGTTTTACAAAGAAAATTTAATACAGGGAACTAGTTACAAAAGGTTGGATGAACAGAAAAGCCAAATGGCACAGCGAGGCAAAGCAAAAATTTAATAGCAGAAAGTGGCTATTACCGTAGGATCAGGGCAGACAAAGAGTGAGTGTCGTTAACAGACCCCAGAAGCTAGAGCCGCCCAATGAGAGATTGGACCAAAGAGGGAGGAACCGTACCACTGAGAGTTTGAATCATGAAGGACAGGCAGCCAATAATGGACTCCTACCCCTTTTCCCACCGCAGGTAGAAAGAAAGAGAAAAAAAAATACCCGGTTTCTCCTCTCCTCTCTCCCTTCAGTTGCCTTCCAGTGCCTTTCAATGGCCAAACCAGTCAAAAGTCACTTGGCAAGGGAGTCAGGGAAATGCCATTGGCAGGGCCCAGCTTCCTGGCCACCAAGCAGAGCAGGGGGAAGTGGGGAACAGGTCTGAGTGGAAACAGGCAGATGATGGGCACAGGATTAATAGTTATTTTAGAGTTGCTGTGGATTTGGAGTCAGAAATCCCTAACAAAACATGGGATAACAGCACAAATATAGTAAAAATGTCAGAGGCCACAGGAAAATAACATTATTGGGTGTCCCAGTGGGTGTTTGGAATAAAAGATCAGCCTGCCACACTCCAAAATACCCAAGTAATTTTCCTAAAATCCATCCACTTTCCTCTAGCTATAACTATCTAGTTTGAAAGATAATAAGCCCAAAATGTTTGTTCTTGTAACTGTACTCTTTAGACACCAATGTTCTCATAATTGAGGGAAAAATAATCCTAAATGTATTAGGTGTGTTTTCCTCAGTAATTCTTCTTCATGGGGATGGATTCTTTGTGATGTGTCTTCATTCATCAGTGAAAGCAATTGCCTGCACAGTCGTTTCCATGTACAGTACTCAGGTGATCTGAGTAGAAGTTGGCTGTGCTTCCTCTTTTAGATGGAGAAACAAACTTGAATAGCCCACTACAAGCTGGGTGCGGTGGCTCACACCTGTAATCTCAGCGCTTTGGGATGCCAAGGCAGGAGGATTGCCTGAAGGAAGGAGACCTGCCTGGGAAACATAGTGAGACTCCATCTCTAAAAAATATTGTTTTTTAAAAAAATTAGCTGGGTGCTAATTAATTAGGTGGTGTGCAAGCCTGTAGTCCCAGCTATGTGGGAGACTGAGGCACGTGGATTCCTTGAGCCCAGGAGGGTGACACTGCAATGATCTATGATCACACTGCTACCCTCCAACCTGGGTGAAAAAAAGAGCACTACAAAAATGTTATTTGAACAGGGGAAAAGGTCAACACTACTACAAATAGATGTTCCATGCCTAGAAGTCCCATGAATAGATGAATGCACAGAGAAGATCAACAGGCTTCAGAGGAACACTACACTGCATCAATGATGCTAATTTGGTGGCAACCCATGTGAAATTTCTGATACATTGGAAAGGGGCTGGCAGAAAGTTTCAGTTGGCAGACTCTGTGAAATTAACAACAAAGAATGATGAATGGAAGAACTTAAGTATTTTAAAGAATGCTTTCAAAGAATCCATTTTAATAAACAATCACTGTATTCATCAAAATTCTTATCCTTTTACTGTATTTTGGAAACCTATTTTTAAACCTGAGAGGATTAAATCAATATTTCTATAAAAATATTTTATAACTCAGCTTTGTTAGTATACTTCTCTCAATGGTATAGGAAGTTAGCTCTACACCGTATGAAGGAGTTTATGTACAAGACAAATGAAGCTATGTCTACTCTCTAAAGTGAATAACTTCTTTGATTGACAGTTTTTTCCTAATTAGCACAGCAAACTATAGCTGACCGTACTAGTGTCGGAAGCCCAGCACAATAAATTATCCTTCAATTGTCATTCAAAACAAAGTTCAAGAAAGAACTAAACATCAGGCAGCAGGGAAAAAACACACAGAGTACGCATGGTTTATTAATAATGTACGAGGATGGCCAGCACAGTACTTGAATGAGATGGGGGTGACAAAAGTCAATTAAAATCTTGAGACGGTTTTTTTGAGATATGGAATATTAATTAGAGAAAGCAACTGCAGAATTGCCTGGCAGAACCAGGCACACATTTGAAATCTTGTTTGTAGTTCAAGAAGCCATTTTTTAAAGAGTCCTTGAGAGACTGAAAAGATGCATCTAGAAAAAAAGCAATTAAAATAATTCGGAGCTGGAAGACGTTAGGTCAACTTGGCATGTGTAATGCAAAAGGATACAGTGGTCAGCACGGCGCTGCAGGAAACCTACTAGGACAGCTACTTCCGTGGGACTCTTTAGTGTTTTTATTTATATTTTTTTCTGACAAAGACCACTTTAAAAACACAAATGGGAGAAAGGCAGTTACAAGTGTGTAGTGTTGTGAACTATTATGAATCGCCTATTTCAAGCATAAGTGAAAGAAAAGCCATTTCTGCTCTGGTTAAACAAATCATATTTGTCTACAATAGGATTAGAGATGCAACAGACTGGAGAGTTTGGCTCTGTTTCTGGGACAGGGGAGATATCCATCTACCCTGAAAAAAAAAAATAACTAACATCTTTTGAGAGCCTTGTGTACCAGACACTATATAGTATGCTTTCTAATGGTTTATTTCCTACAGAAAGTATGCTACATGAAGGCAGGGAAATTTGCTGGTTTTGAACTATCATATCCTCCATGGCTGGCACATAGTAGGCACTCAACAAATATTTTACCAATGAAGGGTGCTTCTCTAATGGTTGGATTTGTTATGCCTGTTTTCCTCTTATAATGAAATATGATAAAAATTGGGGTTTACTTCCTCTTAGTGTTCATGCTCTTGTGCCCTTGAGGGCAAACTAGACCTAGTGGCCCACTTCTAATGAATAAAATATATGAAAATGATGGAATGTCACCACTGAGATTAGGTTAAAAAATGACTGGGAGTTCTGCCTGGCTGTCTGTTGCTCTCCCACTTGCTCTTTCTGATGGAAGCCAGCTGCCCTATGAAGAGGCTCATGTGCCAGGAAACTGAAAGAGGCCTCTGGCCAACAGCCAGTGAGGAACTGAGAGTCTCAGTCTGACGGCCCATGAGGAACTGGACCCTGACAACAACCATGCGAGAGAGGTCAGAAGACTCTCCAGCCCCAGTTGAACCTTGAGATTACTACAGCCCTGGCCATGTAATCTTGTGAGAGATCCTAAGCCAGAATTACCCATCCAATCTGTTCCTAGATTTCAGACACACAGAAACTATGAGATAATAAATATTTGTTGTTTTAAACTGCTAAACTTGAGGGTAATTTGTCATACAGCCAGAGATAACTAATATATACATCTACGTAAAAGTGTTTATTTTTAAGTTGTTGGGGTATTCTTTTTTCAAATGGCATTGTAATTTTCTACTTTCTGCTCTTACAGCATGTACTAGTGTTTTTCAAAAAATAACCCTGGTTTGGCAGTGTGGTAACAGCTGCTTCTTCCATGTCTAATGGATGGCAGTAACGTTTCAACTGAAAATTTATTTTCTCATTCTAAAGTGTTACCTTAGCATATTGACAGTAGGAGCCTTACACAGTTCCAGGAAAATCATAATTAAGTCAAAGTTCTAAAAAATACTTTAAAATCCATTAGATTTATTCAACACAGCATTCTACATGTCATAATGACACTAAGTGCTAAAATTAATCTCTAGACACCTTCCTATTGAAGTTAAATGGGCTCTCTTTATCTAGTTCCTTCTACAGCTCATGACATCTATATGTTGGGTTTTTATAATATATAGTAGCCAGACAAATAGCCATACAAATGAGTCCTGTGAATTCACACTAATTCATCATTTTGATCAAAACACAGTTAACCACTGGTTATCTGGCCCCCAAATTCCAGTGATATCTATACATTATACCTTATTTTTGCACTACCAATGTATAAACTCTTAAATTCTGTAAGATACATCTAATGCTATCGTGCAGCCAAAATAACTTATTCTTTGAAAGTTGAAGGGTCTTATGAGTTACCATTATGTATAGCAAGTATTATTCTAATCAATTAATGTGGACTTCTTATCATGTAGCTTTATCCTGGCCCTTTTTCTTGTCTTCCCCTAGACTGTAGGTCTTCTGTTCTACCACTGAAGAGGACCTGACATACAATGAATACTCAGATATATATATCTAATAAACTAATACATAAATTCTATGCTTGTTTTTTCATTCAAAGATACTTTAGCATGGTCCTAGCCCTCAAAGATGGATAAAGGAGAGGAAGAAATACACACATAATCATAATGGAAGACAGTAATAGTAATCATAATTACTTAAGAAAGTATGTCAAATGATACTGGGTATTTATTTTTAAATATGCAGATCCCTGGGCCCCAGCCTTCAACTGAACGTTTAATGTAACATTAAATGCTTACATTTAACTTGGCTTAAGAACCATGGACTAGATCAGAGGTTGGCAAACTTTTTCTATAAATGTCTAGGTAGAAAATGTTTTGGGCTTTGCAGACCAACATAATCTCTGCTGCAACTAAACTCTGCCATTGTAATGCAAAAGCTGCTGTAGTTAATACATAAATAAATGGATATGACCGTGTTCCAATAAAACTTTACAAATGGACATTGACATTTTAAGTTTTTAATTTCTTATAATTTTCACACATCATGAAATACTATTCTTCTTCTGATTTTTTCTCAACTATATAAAACTATAATAACCATTCTTGGCTTTTGAGGGGCACAAAACCAGACAGCTGGCCAGATTTGGCCTGCAGGCCATAGTTGGGCAGTCTTTGGCATAAATGAAAGAGCATGGACTCTGGAATCTTCTTGACCTGAGTTTGTATTCCAGCTCTGCTCTTTATTAGCTGGTGACTTGAGCAAGCTACTTACCCTATGAGAGCCTGTTTCTTTTTTACCCAAGACAAAGAGAGATTTCAGTTATACCTACTTCATCCATGAGGTGGCAAGACACTTGAAGACCAAAAAAAAAAAAAAAAAAAAAAAAGAGGGTGTGGGTACAGGCTAAAAAGCCTGTGTGCTAAAACAATAATCATGCTATTTGAACTACCATAGTAAACATGTTTTCTTTTTACATGCCAATCAGGGAACTAATTTGGACATGGATTTAATTAAATGCAGTTGGCTGCATCACTAATATACTCTCTCTCCATCATATTCTATTACACAGTAGTCACTTCGTTTTGGGATTTGTTATTGTAATGTGATGAGACCTCACCATAACGTGTCATGGAGTGCACCAGGCAGCATCTTTTATTTTTATATGACTAGGTTTTAATGGGATTTTACAATTTAGCTCTAGGATGTCTAGCCTGCCAAATCATTCAGCAAATGCTAAGAAAATTGTCTTAACTAGCATGCTGCAAGTAAATGCTTCGATTTAATACATCATAAAAATAATAAAAAGAGAAAAATAAAACAGATAGGAAAAAGGGAAAAAATCATTTTGGAGAAAAGCCTGGCTTTCTCCTGAATTAAGATTTTAGGAAACAAAGTTTACATTTTATTTTTGACAGATGTTATAGCTACTGTGATTATGATTTCCCAACACCAGCACCCAAAAGAAGACACATTTTTAGTTTAATCACATTTACTTTATACTGTGCCTGACAAGTGTTCATTCATCCAGCCTCATTTCAGCAACTTGTCTCTGAAAAAGGAAAGTCTTAAAAGAACAATGCCTTAACCCAAAAGAATGAACATCTAAATGATAGAATAAAATGCATTAAACTAGAGGCAAGTAACTAGCGGTGGGGGCAGTGGAGCAGCAGAGTTACATAGATAGAAAACAAACATACCTCTCTTATTTGCAGGACCCAGAGAAAGAATATAAATTGTGACCACATAACGTGTCAAATATTTAGAAGTTAGAAATCCATTTAAATCCCACTCAAGGCCTTGCAGTCAATATCTGAAAATAGTCCTCCAGCCTGAATGTTAAAAGCCTGCTAGACTGCTTGGTAGCACAAATATGCTGGGCAGGACAGGATAGAAGACGGACCTGGGCTCAGGCCCAGGACTTCTGGGTACTGACTGCACTAAAAACTGTTAGAACTCATAATCAAGTTCAGCACGGTTGCAAGATGCAAGATCAATATACAAAAATCAACTGTATTTCTAGACGTTAGTAATAATTCAAAACCAAATTCAAGAAAACAACTGCATTTATAATAGCACCGAAAAGAGTAAAATACTTAGACACAAATTTAATGAAAGAAATCCAAAATGAAAACTCTGATTTTGAAAACTTTTTTTTAAAGAACTCAAAGCCTAAATAAATAGACAAATATTCTATGTTCATGGATTGGAAGATTTAATATTATTAAGATGGCACTACTCCCCAAATTGATCTACAGATTCAACACAATTACTATGAGAATCCTAGCTAGATTTTTTAGCAGAAATTTGCAAGCTGATCCTAAAATTCATATGGAAGTGCAAGGGACCCCAAATAGCCAAAACAACCTTAAAAAAGGAAGAGCAAAGTTGAAGGATTCATACTTCCCAATTTCAAAACTAACTACAAAATTAGAGTAATCAAGACAATATAATATAAGTCTACATGGATAGATATAGATCAATGGAATAAAATTGATAATTCAGAAACAAAACCTCAAATTTATAGTCAATTAATTTTCCACAGTAGTGCCAAGACAATTCAATGGAAAACAGTAGTCTTTTCAACAAATGATGCTAAGATATTGACATACCAAAAAATGAGCCTTATTCTCTACCACACAGAACATTGAACTCAAATTGGATCATAGATCTAAATTTAAGAGGTAAAATTATAAAACTCTTAGAAGAAAACACAGGAGTAAATCTTCATGACCTTGAGCTAGGCAGTCTTCTTAGACACAACACCAAAAGCACAAATAACAAAAGAAAATTGGGTGAAGTGGATTCATCAAAATTAAGACTTTTGTGCTCCAGAGGACACCATTAAGAACATGCAAAGACAGCCCACAGAATAAGAGAAAATATTTGCAACTGAAAGATAGAACTTTCCACCTCAAAATATGTCATTTTGGCACAAGGACTATTTTGAGCTGAAGGCAATTGAGAAGAAGTAGATACAAGAAATGCTCTCTTCCCTCTCCTTACTGCCTAAAAGCAGGACATAAATGTGGCAACCCTAGACCCTTATCAGCCCAGAGATGGCACCACAGGACTCTACATAACAAACTTTATAATTAATTCTTATCTACTATTAGTCTCTTATATATTCACCTTCCCATAATTTGTTGCCCTAGAAACTCAGTCATTTTCCTGTCTTGTAACTTGTCTGAAAATTTATCATTTATTGTTGTTAAGATACTACATAAGCCTAAGTTCTAGTCATCTCTTTGAGTTACTCATCCCTGAGTTTCTCCTCTGTATATATGATATACACATGTGAATAAATTTCTGACCATTTTTCTCTTGTTAAGCTATCTTTTGTTACAGAGCCCCAGCTGTGAACCTAGAAGAGTAGAAGGAAAAAGATTTTTTCCTCCCCTACAAAATCATATAACTGATAAGGGATTTGTATCCAAAATACATTTAAAAAACTTTTACAACTTGGTCATAAAAGACAAATAACCCAAATTTAAAATGGCAAAGAATTTGAACAGACATTTCTTCAAAGAATGTATATAAACAGCCAGTAAGATGCTCAACATGAAAAGGCACTCAACACCATTTGGGAAATATAAACCAAAACCAAAATGAGATATCATTTCCCACCCACTAGGATGGCTATAGTTGAAAAGGCAGACAATAACAAGTGTTTACAAAGATGTGGAGAAACTACAGCTCTTACACATTTCTGGTGTAAATGCAAAACAATGCAGCCACTTTGGAAAATAATTTGGTGATTCCTCAAAAAGTTAAACATAGACTTATCACATGACCTAGCAGTTGCACTCCTAGGTGCCCCAGGGAAGTAACAACACACGCCACACAAAAACTTGTACATGAATGTTTATGGCAATATTATTCACCATAGCCCAAAATTGGAAACAACTCAAATGTCCACCAAGTAATGAGTGGACAATGGACTATTACTTAGCAATAATGAATGAGGACTATTACACACCAATAACGAATGAGGTACTGATCCACGCTATGACATATATGAACCTTGAAAACATTATGCTAAATGAAAGAAGCCAGTCACAAAAGACCACATATCATATGAATCCATTTATATGAAATGCCTAGAAGAGGTAAATCTAGAGAGATGGAAATTGGATTAGTGATTGCCTAGGGCTGATGGAGTTGGGAGGAAATGGAGAGTGACTGTACTGGTTTTTTTCAGGTGTAATAAAAATGTTCTAAAATGTATTGTGGTGATGGTTGCATAACTGTGAATGTACTAAGAAACAGAATATTATACACTGTAAATGGGTGGATCATATGGTATATGAATATATCTCAATAAAGCTGTTAAAAAAAAAAAGGGGAGGGAGGTTCCAAGATGGCCGAATAGGAATAGCTCCAGTTTACAGCTCCCAGTGTGAGTGATGTGGAAGACAGGTTATTTCTGCATTTCCAACTGAGGTACCCCATTCATCTCACTGGGGGTTGTCAGACAGTGGGTGCAGCCCATGGAACAGGGCAGGGCATCACCTCACCCAGGAAGCGCAAGGTGTCAGAGAATCCCTTTCCTAGCCAAGGGAAGCCGTGACAGACGGTACCCGGAAAATCGGGACACTTCCACCCTAATACTGCGCTTTTCCAATGGTCTTAGCAAGTGGCACACCAGGAGATTATATCCTGCGCGTGGCTTGGAGGGTCCCAAGCCCATGGAGCCTTGCTCACTGCTAGAACAACAGTCTGAGATCGAACTGCAAGGCATCAGCGAGCCTGGGGGAGGGGCATCTGCCATTGCTGAGGCTTGAGTAGGTAAACAAAGTGGCCAGGAAGCTCGAACTGGGTGGAGCCCACTGCAGCTCAAGAAGGCCTGCCTGACTCTGTAGACTCCACCTCTGGAGGCAGGGCATAGCTGAACAAAAGGTAGGAGAAACTTCTGCAGACTTAAACGTCCCTGTCTGACAGCTTTGAAGAGAGTAGTGGTTCTCCCAGCACAGAGTTTGAGATCTGAGAAAGGACAGACTGCCTCCTCAAGTGGGTGCCTGACCCCTGACTAGCCTAACTGGGAGACACCTCCCAGTAGGGGCCGACTGACACCTCATACAGCTGGGTGCCCCCCTGAGACAAAGCTTCCAGAGGAAGGATCAGGCAGCAACATTTGCCGTTCTGCAATATTTGCTGTTCTGCAGCCTCCGCTGGTGATACCCAGGCAAACAGGGTCTGGAGTGGACCTCCAGCAAACTCTAACAGACCTGCAGCTGAGGATCCTGACTGTTAGAAAGAAAACTAACAAACAGACAGGATATCCACACTAAAACCCCATCTCTATGTCACCATCATCAAAGACCAATTCTACTATTTGACCACATAGTTGGAAGTAAAGCACTCCTCAGCAAATGTAAAAGAATAGAAATTATAACAAACTGTCTCTCAGATCACACTGCAATCAAACTAGAACTCAGGATTAAGAAACTCACTCAAAACCACTCAACTACATGGAAACTGAACAACCTGCTCCTGAATGACTACTGGGTACATAACGAAATGAAGGCAGAAATAAAGATGTTCTTTGAAACCAATGAGAACAAAGACACAACATACCAGAATCTCTGGGACACATTCAAAGCAGTGTGTAGAGGGAAATTTATAGCACTAAATGCCCACAAGAGAAAGCAGGAAAGATCTAAAATTGACACCCTAACATCGCAATTAAAAGAACTAGAGAAGCAAGAGCAAACAAATTCAAAAGCTAGCAGAAGGCAAGAAATAACTAAGATCAGAGCAGAACTGCAGGAGATAGAGACCCAAAATCCCTTCAAAAAATCAATGAATCCAGGAGCTGGTTTTTTGAAAAGATCAACAAAATTGATAGACCACTAGCAAGACTAATAAAGAAGAAAAGAGAGAAGAATCAAATAGATGCAATAAAAAATGATAAAGGGATATCATCACCAATCCCACAGAAATACAAACTACCATCAGAGAACACTATAACCACCTCTGTGCAAATAAACTAGAAAATCTAGAAGAAATGGATAAATTCTTTGACATATACACCCTCCCAAGACTAAACCAGGAAGAAGTTGAATCCCTGAATAGACCAATAACAGGATCTGAAATTGAGGCAATAATTAATAGCCTACCAACCAAAAAAAAAAAGTCCAGGACCAGACGGATTCACAGCTGAATTCTACCAGAGGTACAAAGAGGAGCTGGTACCATTCCTTCTGAAACTATTCCAATCAATAGAAAAAGAGGGAATCCTCCCTAACTCATTTTATGAGGCCAGCATCATCCTGATACCAAAGCCTGGCAAAGACACAACAAAAATAGAGAATTTTAGACTGTTGATGAACAACAGTACAAAAAATCCTCAATAAAATACTGGCAAACCGAATCCAGCAGCACATCACAAAGCTTATCCACCATGATCAAGTTGGCTTCATCCCTGGGATGTAAGGCTGGTTCAACATATGCAAATCAATAAACATAATCCAGCATATAAACAGAACCAAGGACAAAAACCACATGATTATCTCAGTAGGTGCAGAAAAGGCCTTTGACAAAATTCAACAATGCTTCATGCTAAAAACTCCCAATAAACTAGGTATTGATGGGATGTGTCTCAAAATAATGAGAGCTATTTATGACAAACCCACAGCCAATATCATACTGAATGGGCAAAACTGGAAGCATTCACTTTGAAAACTGGCACAAGACAGGGATGCCCTCTTTCACCACTCCTATTCAACATAGTGTTGGAAATTCTGGCCGTGGCAATCAGGTAAGAGAAAGAAATAAAGCGTATTCAGTTAGGAAAAAAGGAAGTCAAATTGTCCCTGTTTGCAGATGACATGATTGTATATTTAGAAATCCCCATTGTCTCAGCCCAAAATCTCCTTAAGCTGATAAGCAACTTCAGCAAAGTCTCAGGATACAAAATCAATGTGCAAAAAATCACAGGCATTCTTATACACCAATAACAGAAACCAAAACATGGAACCAAAAAAGAGCCTGCATCGCCAAGACAATCCTAAGCCAAAAGAACGAAGCTGGAGGCATCATGCTACCTGACTCCAAACGATACTACAAGGCTACAGTAACCAAAACAGCATGGTACTGGTACCAAAACAGGGAGATAGACCAGTGGAACAGAACAGAGCCCTCAGAAATAATACCACACATCTGCAACTATCTGATCTTTCACAAACCTGACAAAAACAAGCAATGGGGAAAGGATTCCCTATTTAATAAATGGTGCTGGGAAAACTGGCTAGCCATATGTAGAAAGCTGAAATTGGATCCCTTCCTTACACCTTATACAAAAATTAATTCAAGATGGATTAAAGACTTAAATGTTAGACCTAAAACCATAAAAACCCTAGAAGAAAACCTAGGCAATACCATTCAGGACATAGACATGGGCAAGGGCTTCATGACTAAAACACCAAAAGCAATGGCAACAAAAGCCAAAACTGACAAATGGGATCTAATTAAACTAAAGAGCTTCTGCACAGCAAAAGGAACTACCATCAGAGTGAACAGGCAACCTACAGAATGGGAGAAAATTTTTACAATCTACCCATCTGACAAAGGGCTAGTATCCAGAATCTACAAAGAACTTAAACAAATTTACAAGAAAAAAATCAAACAACCCCATCAAAAAGTGGGCAAAGGATATGAACTGACACTTCTCAAAAGAAGACACTTATGCAGCCAAAAGACACATGAAAAAATGCTCTCATCACTGGTCATCAGAGAAACGCAAATCAAAACCACAATGAGATACCATCTCACACCAGTTAGAATGGCGATCATTAAAAAGTCAGGAAACAACAGGTGCTGGAGAGGATGTGGAGAAATAGGAACACTTTTACACTGTTGGTGGGACTGTAAACTAGTTCAACCATTGTGGAAGACAGTGTGGTGATTCCTCAAGGATCTAGAACTAGAAACACCATGTTCTCCCTCATAGGTGGGAATTGAACAATGAGAACACTTGGACATGGGGTGGGGAACATCACACACCAGGGCCTGTCATGGGGTTGGGGGGATGGGGGAGAGATAGCATTAGGAGATATACCTAATGTAAATGACGAGTTAATGTGTGCAGCACACCAACATAGCACATGTATACATATGTAACAAACATGCACCTTGTGCACGTGTACCCCAGAACTTACAGTATAATATAAATAAATAAACAAACAAAGAAATGATACCATCTAGTTATCTAAGCAACTCAGTCTATCTGGACATCTGCTTAGGGTGACTTGGGACAGCCAACTTGAAAAAAGGCAGCTCTGTTTTCTAGCACAGAGGCTGTAATTTTCTCCTCCCAGGTCACCCCTCCCCATACCGCCACACTTACATGCCCTTGGCCCTGCATCCTCAGGCTCTGGAGACTGGCCCAGTTAGGTTAAAAGCTCCTTCTTCCTTCCTTGCTGTTTACTCAACTTTCTTTCAAGAGTGAAAAGAAAAACTACCTTTGTGTTTGGATATTTACAATACATGGCGTCCTTTAAAAGTTGGATTTTTCTCTTGCCCATGTGTAAGGGCAGAATCCAAAGGAGCTTCTGGGAGGCCCGCTACAGCACACATGGAAGGCAGTGGGGATGTTCCTTGACTCAGTTATTTGCCTTTCCTGCTCAGTTAACATGAAGGACCTGTCAATGTCATTCTGTTTGAAGGCTGAGCATCACAGAGTAGTTTCCTTGACCCCACACTACTCAGCCATGCACATTTAACTTCAATGTACTTTAACTTAAATTCTAAGTCAACCTAAATGGTCTAAGCCAGGAATCAGCAAACATTTTCCTTTTTTTTTTTTTTCCTGAGACGAAGTTTTCCTCTGTCACCCAGGCTAGAGTGGAGTGTCAAGATCTCGACTCACTGCAACCTCTGCCTCCTGGGTTCAAGAAATTCTTCTGCCTCAGCCTCCAGAGTAGCTGGGATTATAGGCGCCCACCACTGTGCCTGGCTAATTTTTTTTTTTTTTTTTTTTTTGTATTTTTGGTAGAGACAGGGTTTCACCATGTTGGCCAGGCTGGTCTTGAACTCCTAACCTCCTGATCCACCCACCTCAGCCTCTCAAAGTGCTGGGATTACAGGCATGGACCACTGTGCCCAGACACATTTTCTTGAAGGAACAGATATTAAGCATCTTAGGTTTGTGGGTCATACATAGATTTACATAGTCTAAAGCTGATTTTAAGCGACAATAAAACTTAAACAGATGTGGCTGTGTTCCAATAAAACTATATTTGTAAAATCAGACAAGGAACACTGCAGGCTATAGTTTGCCATCTCCTGATCTAGGGAAGCTCTGTACTATCATAAAGCCAAGGCTTCTAATGCGACAGGGTAAACAGGTTAAGAAATCATCTCTTCCTAACTTTCACCGTATTCTTTTCTTCTCCTCCTTAGAAAGGAGCCAGGGCTTTATGTACTGGAGTACTGAGCTTCCCTTGCCCAGAGAAAACTTGAAGACTTTGTTTTTAAAAACCTCAAATTAGGCCAGGCATGGTGGCTCAGCCTATAATCCCAGCACTTTGGGAGGCCGAGGCAGGCAGATTACCTGAGGTCAGGAGTTCAAGACCAGCCTGGCCAACGTGGTGAAACCCCGATGTGCACCTGTGGTCCTAGCTACTCAGGAGCATGAGGAGGAAATCCCTTGAAGCCAGAGGCTGGAAGTTGCAATGAGCCAAGATTGTGCCACTGCACTCCAACCTGGGCTACAGAGCGAGATTCCAGCCTGGGTTACAGAGTGAGACTCCATCTCAAACAAAAAAAAATCCCTCAAATAACAGAGCAATATAATAATTATAAGAATAGTTGACCTTTACTGAAGGTTTACTAAGTGCCAGGCATGGTGCAAAGAATGCCTCATGACAATTACATTATTTCTTCCTCACCACAACCTTATGCAGCAGGGATTTATTGTCATTCTCACTTGCCAGGAAACTGAGGCTTAGGGAGCTCCAAGGCATAGAGAGGTCTGGGGAAAATGATGATTTCAACACAGGAAGGCTGATAACAGAGCCTGTGGCCTTAACTGCCACATGTATTAGAATGCTAGAACTGGAAGTGCCAGAGATGGAGGTTCTCAAAAATTGAAGTGATGGAAAATAACCTGAACCCAGAGAAAGCTGAATTACCCCAAAACCAGGGAATGAAAGGGCTCAGTGAAAGTGCAGACGCACGCCCCATTACCTATGATTGACAGGAGCTTTGATGGAGCAAGTATGTGAATCCCTGGGGACTGAGCACTAAGCTTAATGTTAAAAGATGGTATGAAGTCCCAGCAGCCACATCTGGCATGGAAGAGAAGAAAGAGGGGCTTCAGAACCAACCTCCCTGAAATGAACCCAGATTAGAGAGAAAAAAAGAGTCACCACTAATTGAGTTTTCTTTTTATTTATTTATCAATTTAATTAATTAATTATTTATTTTAACTTTTAGTTTAGGTTTGGGGGTACATATGAAGGTTTGTTACATAGGTAAACACTTGTCACAGAGATTTGTCATGGATATTATTTCATCACCCAGGTATCAAGCCCAGTACCCTGATTTTTCTTAATACTCATTAAGTCCCTGGAACCATTTTCCAGCCCTGAGGGGAGGGGGTACCCGAAATAACTCTGATTAGGCATCATGCCAAGTAGACTGGTGAGGTCTGAGTTAGATGTTATTTAATTTGGCAAACTAAAGAAATATGAGTTTCCTTATCATCAAGAATCATAGAACAAATCCATCCTACAAAACTGGGGCTTGAGGGAAGGGATGGTAAAGAGATGCTACCTGTGGTGATGGAGCAAAGAATAGGAAGCTTAAGTTTCTAGCTTGCATGAGTAGAGTTGGTCATTGAAGGAATGGGCTAGTTTTGAAGAATAAGAAGTGGAGTGGTGGGAGGTATAAATCATCTAATTCAAATTAGCAGGGCATGATGGTACATGCCTGTAGTCCCAGCTACTCAGGAGGCTGAGGTGGTGTATCGCTTGAGCCCAGGAGTTTGTAGCTGTAGTAAGCTATGATTGCCCTACTGTACTCCAGCCTGGGTGGCAGAGCAAGATTCTGCCTCTAAAAAATAAATAATAATAATAATCTGATTCAATCTTCATGATCATAGCAAAAAGTTACTCAACACTGTCCTAGGAACGCATACTAAACTTGCCTTCTGTTTCTATGCTAAACAATACTGGGACAAAACAATAAATTACTCAGTTCTTTGCTCCAAAGAATAACTACTCCTGGAAGATTAGACTGTCAACTAATTAAATAGCTTACTTATCAAAACTAACATCAACATTTGGTTCAAAGTTTCACCTTTTTCCCACCAATCAAAAATTAGTATGCCATAACCTCAGCCCAATTCCAATCAGTTTCTGCTTTGCAAGACTAGCCTGAAAAATCACCCTAAACTCTACAGATATCTTTCCCTGACCTCTTCCTTCTGAGACACGACTAGAAGTCTATGAACGTGTTCTCCCTACTGGAATAAGTCTAAAAACTCAGCTTTGCTTGGTCAACAGGCTTTTCTGATGGTCCTTCTGAGGAGTCAGCAGTTGACAATGCAATTGGAACAATTAAAAAATAGTAGGAAATGAATATCATTTAGAGATACTAAGGTAATCACTTGAAAACAGAAATGGTTAAAAGGGTCTCCCTCTGGTGGTGGGGAGGGGACAGAGCAGGGGACAACTGCATTCATGACAAGTCTTTCTGTACAGCTTTTTAAACATGTGTGCATATTACTTTGATAAAAACATATCAAACATTTTAAAAATAGTAGTAATGCAGTGGCTGTTAGGCACTTTTCTCCAACCAAGAGAGCCAGCACTACTCCTTCTGGATTTAACCCTAAAAACAATATAATACGGAGGTAACAAAGAAACATTACAAGTATGTCCATCCCTGTTACACAGACAGAAAAGTCATAGCATAATAAGTATATTTTACAGGCACAGGGATGAGACCAAGGGCATGGAAATATTGCCAGAGTCTGTGCTGTAGGACTTCCTACAGATTATGATTGTTTCAATGAGTTGACCTAAATGAGTTTGGAATTGGGTCCCACTCCATACCCCCACTTCCATCTGCTCAGGCTACACACATTCCCAGCCAACTTCTACTCTGAACTCACCTCCAACAAGAAAGTGTCACGAGGGAAGAAGTCATTTTTCTTATAGGACAGACCATCTTCCTGGGCCTCAATTATTTTTTAATCTTAAATCTTAGAAAGGAAATTACCTTTTCAGATTGGAAACCACTTTCTGCCTAGCTCCAGCTTGAGTTGACCTATGAAGCATTTTGCTATGAGAGTGCTGTGTTCTTAGTATTTGGAAGACCGATGGAACATTGAGGGGAGGTTATGGAAGTAATTTGAGAGGTCTCAGCAGACCAAATGCAAATATACTTCTGTTCAAAAAATAAATATGTATGTGAAGAGCTTCTTTGAAAGAACTTGTTTTGTTTTGTTTTGTTTTGTTTTGTTTTGTTTTGTTTTGTTTTTTTGAGGCAGAGTCTCACTCTGTTGCCGAGGCGGGAGTACAGCAGTGTGATCTCAGCTCACTCAGCCTCGACCTCCCAGGCTCAAGCCATACTCCCACCTCAGCCTCCCAAGTAGCTGGTACTACAGGCGTGTGCCACCAAGCCCAGTTACTTTTTTGTATTTTTAGTAGAGGCGACGTTTCTCCATGTTGCCCAGGCTGGTCTCAAATGCCTGAGCCTTAACTCAAGCAATCTGCCCTCCTTGGCTTCCCAAAGTGCTGAGATAACAGGTGTGTGCCATGGGGTCAGGCCTTGAAAGTATATTTTTATATACATCCATGTGCACACACACACACACACACAAACACGCGCACAAATACACACAAATGCCATCGGCAAAGATCCTTTTTTTCCATTTTAAAAACCATAAAACAAGTTGAGTCTGGATCTCCTTTCCCCCAGACCTTGGAACAAAAAAAAAGCTATTCACTGAGTCAAGCCTGTCACCCCCACACTTCAGAATCCAACACAGAGTTGGCTCAGATACACTTTCGTGACAGCAGTGTGACTTTTTTGAAAACTTCAACCCCTAGTTGAGGTAAGGGATATACTAACAAGTGTTTACTCAATAATCATTTGTTCAATAACATCTGCTGCACATCTCTACCTCCCAGGCACAGTACTAGAAACTGGAGATAGAGGTGGACATGACCAAAGTTCCTGTCCACAAAAAGTTACGGTCTAGTGCTTTTTGAGTAGTAAGTGCATTATAAAAATTTGATGACTAAGTGAATTAGTAAAAAATTATGTCTAAAATATAATATAATCACACCTGAGTGGTAGACCTGTCTTTAAAAATATTTTTCATGTCAATAAAAAGAAACTAAATTGGGAAAATATACTATGATAGGAGATATCTATGAAGATACCTTAGGGAGAAAAGACAGATACAAATCTCTATACACAGTTTTGCTTGTTAATGAGAAATATATACATATATATGTATTTCTTCCATGGAGATATATATATATATATCTCCATGGAAGAAAAAATAAGTCTATAATGAAGCAATCCAAAGTGTTAACTCTAATTTTTGTTAGAATTAGAAAGTATTCGTTTTCATATTTCTACTTTTCTATTTTTTTCAATTCTTCTGTACTAAACACACATTCTATATATAGGAGGAAATTTTATTTTTAGTAGAGAAAAAAATCACTATGGTAATTCCGCACATAGTAATAGAACTAGAATGAAGAGATCTTCAGAAAACATACCAGACTGACAAGCTAACCTCATTTCTATCAACTTTTCCTCGGTATCACAAGACAACTTTATTTTTGGTTCTCAAACCTTATATCTGAGCGGTGTGGGAGTTGCTAATGTACAGAAAAGAAACCAGCAACTCTGGCTCTGGAAGAAAACAGAAGAAACCTTTACAGCAGCACAATCCAGGAAACAATAAGGAACTTGTTTAAGGCAGCATACACCTGGCGCAGCAGATCCCTTAAAATCACACAAGCCTGGAAATGTTGTTAAATGGCCTCTTGTTATTTTTATTTCATAAGTTCCTGAACTCACGAAATTTCTAATAGTACATTTCATATTTAGTTTCTATTAAAGGAAGTTTTCATTCAACATAAATGGTAAGTATCATAGAAGAAACAGACAATAGCAGTTACAATAATAGCTAATGACTTTTATATGCTTACTATGTTCCAGGCACTGTACTATCCATCGCGCATGCAATTATTTCATGTAAAGGGGATTCTGAGCCCCATGAAATAAGTCCCATTCTTATTATACTTAAGGAGGAGGAAACTGAAGAGAGATGATAAGGAACTCACCGAAGATCCTAATGCTCAGTAGAAGAGCTGGCCTCAAACCCAAGTCTGACTGCACTTCACATCCCTAATGACTCAGCTTCTTAATTATTTACTGTTGTTTTTCTGTCCCTGTACCAAGAAATTTTCAAATTTTCAATATTGTTTCTAAAAACTGAGAGGGGAGAAAATGCAAAGTTTAAGCTTTAACAACCTCTATTTACCCCTTTCCCATCTTCCTTTCATTTTTTTAAAGAAAGTAAGGCTTTGGAGAAGGAAACATCCTAATAACTTCATTAAGGCTGAAAGAATCAGCCGTTACATATTATTTGATTGTTTTCACATCGTTTTTTGTCTTCTATCTTTTACTGAAGAAACACATGCCACATCATATTTGGTATTTCAACCAGTCTCAAGGGGTTTGATACAGAGAACAGCGTAGGCAGAATAATGGTCCCTCTGATTAATGTATTGCTTCAACTTAATATTTAGAATGTAGTGGAAACAATCAATAGGCACATACTCTTCTTGGGAGTTACAAATGTTTATTTAAACAAACTCAATGTTTCCTTTGTGTATACTGCACTCAACAGCTTGAAAATGGTTAGAAAACATCTACACTCTTGAAAATCTCAGGTAAAATGCTAGTGAATGGGAGAGGAATTGTGTGCGACAACAACAGCATGTACACACTTAAGGAGCATTATTCTCTTCTATTATTTGATACTTGAGTAAACTTGGTACTTGCTAAGTTGGGTTTGGACAAAATGTCCCACTCCTATTCAAAATCATGACAGCAAAACCGAAGCGGTTTTTCTCAACCTTCAGAGCCCTTAAGAAACATGGAGACTCATAAGCTCCAACTTCAGAAACTCCAGCTGCACTGGGCACCTGGGAATGAATACTTGACAAGCTTCCCCTGCTATTTGGATGCAGGTGGCATAATTCATACTTCAAGAAATACTGCTGTGAATAGGAGTGAATAAAAGCATGGGCTATAGAGTTGGCCATATCTATATTTAAATAATGGACCCTCCACTCACGGACATGGTGTCCTGAGTTGAACAACATAATCTCTCTAAGCCTCAGCTTCTATATCCATGAAATAGGAGGATAACAAGAGTATCTTGCAGAGTTGTGAGAGTGTGTGTGTGTGTGTGTGTGTGTGTGTGTGTGTGTGTGTGTGTGGAGAGAGAGAGAGAGAGGGGGAAAGAGAGAGAATGTTTGAATATATATATAATTACTATTTGAAAAGAGGAATCCTGTAGGCTCTAAAACCCTTGCTGGCTTGCTCTATTTCTCAGTCTTCTCTCAAGGATATTGATTCACCTTTGCATTTTTCTCTTAGTTAATCTTCCATGAGTATTAATTGTAGTTTGCTTTGATCATGAAGTCCCAAAATTTGTAAAAGCCTTATTAGGCATTCAAACAGTTCCTTCTACATTTCAAAATATTAGAACATCAGGAGAGTCTACTGCCTAATTTGGCCTTAGTTTGTACAATAATTGTAACTGGTCTCCTCGGATCTGTTCATGCAGAGCATAAATCCCTAAGAATGGAAGACCAATTAATTAGTTATTAAAGTATAGTGCAGATGTTTTCTAATAAGAGCATTCTATATATCTATTGATTTTTAAAGGATGCACACACACACAAGTGGACACTAAAATCTTTCTATTGCCAGGCGCCGTGGCTCACGCCTGTAATCCCAACAGTTTAGGAGGTCTAGGCAGGGGGATCACTTGAAGTCAGGAGTTCAAAACCAGCCTGGCTAACATGGTGAAACCCCGTCTCTACTAAAAATACAAAAATTAGCCAGGTGTGGTGGTGCACGCCTGTACTCAGGAGTCAGCCTGAGAATCACTTAAACCCACAAGGAGAAGGTTGCAGTGAGCTGAGATCGCATCACTGCACTCCAGCCTGGTCGTGACAAAGCAAGACTCTGTCTCAAAAATATGTAAATAAAATAAAATAAAATAAAATCTTTCTATTATGTTAGAACAATACATTAGTTGGAATTTCAGTTTCTACAACTTATAGAACTTTTACAAAAACATTATGCTATAGGCTGGGTGCAGTGGCTCACGCCTATAATCCCAGCACTTTGGGAGGCCGAGGTGGGTGGATCTCTTGAGCCCAGGAGTTCAAGACCATCATGGACAACATGGCGAAACCCCATCTTTACTAAAAATACAGAAAAAAATAGCCAGGCATGGTGGTGCTGGCCTGTAATCCCAGCTACTCGGAAGGCTGAGACATGAGAATCACTCGAACCCAGGAGGTGGAGGTTGCAGTAAGCCGAGATTGCACCGCTGCACTCCTGCCTGGGTGATAGAGCAAGACTCTGTCCCCCACTCAAAAAATATGCTATAGTTTGTATCAATACTATAAAGCTGAGTGAAAACATGTTTTAATTTGAAATTCAGGTTTCCAGGGCATTTGTGGGTTTGACTTTTTTATTAATATGTAATAGTCATACAGTTAAGCACCTAAATCCTAAGGGCTTAATGAATCTTGGCAAAGTGGGCACACTCCTGTAACCACAAATGATATCAAGATATAGAACACCACCAGCACCACAGAAGGCTCCCTGTTGCCCCTCCTGGTCATTACCTCCTCAACAAGTAACCACTGTTCTGACCTTCATCACTGTTGGTTAATTTTATTTACTTCCAAATAAATTGGATCATGAAGAATGTACTTCTTTTCTTTCTAGATGTTCCCCTCAACATTATGTCTGTAAGATTCATCCATAATTTTGTTTGTACAGTAGTTGCTTTTTAAAAAGTTAATTTATAATATTCTATTGTATGCCAATGTCACAAATTATTTACCCATCTAGGGACATTTGGGTTGTTTCAGTTTGGGGCTATTAAGAGTAAAGTGATACTGAACATTCTTGTCCAGTTTTTTGTTGCTGTTGATTTTTTTTTTTTTTTGAGACAGTCTTGCTCTGTTGCCCAGCCTGGAGTGCAGTGGCACGAACTCAGCTCACTGGAACCTCTGCCTCCTGGGTTCAAGTGATTCTAGTGCCTCAGCCTAGAGGCTGAGTTTACAGGCGTGCACCACCACTGCCTGGCTAATTTTTTGTTTTAGTAGAGACGAGGTTTCACTATGTTGCCCAGGCTGGTCTCGAACTTCAGAGCTCAATCTGCCCACCTCAGCTTCCCAAAGTGCTGGGATTACAGGCATAAGCCACCACACCTGGCTCTTGTCCACATTTTTTAGCACATGTGTACTTAGATCAGGATTTCTGGATGATAGTGTAGGCATTATGTTTAGCTTTAGTTAACACTGCCAAGGAAAATTTTAATACAATGATCTTGTAAATTTACACTCCCACCAGTGGTGTATGAGTTCCAGTCATTCAACATCCTCAACAATCTTGGTATTCTGTCTTTTTCACATAAGCCATGATGGAGGATGTGTGGTCATGATGCATTGAGGCTTTAATTTGCATTTTTTGGCTGGGTGTGGTGGCTCACGCCTGTAATCCCAGCACTTTGGGAGGCAGGGGTGGGTGGATCACCTGAAGTCAGTAGTTCAAGACCAGCCTGGCCAACATGGTGAAACCTTGTCTCTACTAAAATACAAAAATTAGCCAGGTGTGGTGGCATGCACCTGTAATCCCAGCTACTCAGGAGGCTGAGGCAGGAGAATCACTTGAACCCGGGATGGGGAGGTTGCAGTGAGCTGAGATCGTGCCACTGCACTCCAGCCTGGGCAACAGAATGAGACTCCATTAAAATAAAAATAAAAATAAAATAAACAATTTTTAAAAATTGCATTTTTCTCATATTTAATGAAGGTGACCATCTTTTATTTATCTGTATTGGGCATCTGAATATTACATTTTTTACGTCATTCTCAAGATTTTGCCCACTTTTCTAGAGTTATCACCTTTTCCTTTTATTTCTCATAAACTTTTTGGAAGAAATAATTTTAGATGTACGGAAAAATTGTAAAGATAGTACAAGGCATTCCTATATATCCCTCAGTCACTTTCAGTTAATTTTAACATTTTACATTATCACAGTACATGTGTTAAAACTTAGAAACCCACATAGGTACTAAACACTCAATACTACTATACTAAACTTCAGGCTTGATTTGGACTTCTGCAGTTTTTCCACTATAATGTCCTTTCTTCTTCCATATATCAAACCAGATTACCACATTGTTTTCTATTTATCTCATCTCTTTTTTGTTCCTTTTTTCTCCTGTCTTGCATTCTATTTTATTAATCAAGTAATTATTTTATCATTACATTTTCTCCTTTTTATTACATTATTAGTCATACTTTCTTTTTTGTTCATTTAGTAACATACATCCAGTTATCAATCTACCTTAGATCAGAAAATGTACCACTTCCCAGATAATGCAAGAATCAACTCCATTCACTCCCTTCCTGCCTTCCATGCTGTTGTTGTCATGGGTTTTAATTCTACATATAGTTTCAAACCACTAGACATTATTATTGTTATTTTTAAAGAGTCAGTGTTTATTTAAACTTACCCACATATTTGTCTTTCCCATTGCTCTTCACTTCTTCCTGCATTTCTACGCTTCCATCTAAGACCATTAACTTCCTGATGAATAACTCCCCTTGTGCTTAATTTTAACATGCATTTTCTGGCAACAATTTCTCTTCTGTTTTACTTGGATATGAAAGTGAGTTTATTTCCTCTTCATTTGTTTATTTCTTCATTTGATATATTTCTTCATTTAAGGATATTCAAATGAATATTTTCATTTCATTTTCATGTATCTGTTTCATCCTTCATTGAAGGATATTTCTTTTGAAAGGAAAACTGTCAGTTTATTGTAACTCTTTTAAAGATGATTTGTCTTGTTTTCTCTAAATATGACTCAGATTTTCTACTTATGAGTTTTTAGCTCTATTTGCCGTGATATTTTGTATTTATTCTGTTTGGGGTTTGTAGACTTTCATGAACCTGCAGTTTGAGATCCTTCACTTGTTTTTGAAATTATTTGACCAGCATATCTTCAAATATTTCTTCTCCTCCATTTCCCTCTCCTCCCCTTCTGGAGCTTCAAATAAACATATATTCAACACTTGTGCCAATTTTTATATGTACCCTATGCTACTATCTAGATTTTCCATTAATTTTCCTTCTCTGCACTTCAAACTTAACATTTTCTACTTATCTACTTTCAGCTTACTAATTCTCTATTCTGTTCTCTAATCTGCAGTTAAACTCATTTTTTTACTTCTTAATCCTCTCAGCTCTAGAATTTCCATTTGACTATGCTTTTATAGATTCTAATTTTCTAGTGATAGTCTCTATTTTTAGAATCTACTTTTTAAATCTATTAATTATAGTTAGTTAAATAACCTCAATATCCACATCACCTGTAGACCTATTGCTGATTTTTTTTCCTTTTAGCTTTTGTCATTTGGTCAAGTTCCCTGGCAAACCTGATAATTTTAGATTGAAGGCTGACATTACACATGAATGATTGTAGAGACTCTGGATGATATTATATTTCTCCAGAGAAGATTTTATTTTCTTCTGCCTAAAAGGCAGGAAATCCTGATCCAATCAGAGACTGAAATAATTGGAGACTATTTTTAAGACTTTGTGAGGGCTGATCTATTACTGATTTATCCCTATCATCAGTCATAACACTTCAGAGGTCTCATTTAAAAGCCTGGGGAATTTACTGAGATCCTTGGCAGGTTCTAAATTATAATTTTTGTTTCTCCCCAGCACTGTGAGACTGCCAAGAGCTCTGATTAGTTTTTTAGCTAAAAGGCAACTACTTTTTTTTTCTGGGTTTCTTAGCCTCTCGCTCCACACATGCCCAGTTTAAGAATTCGCTAACGACTTGAAGGGAAATGGTATAGCAAAAGCTAGGATCACTTCTCTGAAGTTCCCATTTCTTCAGGATTTTGATGCCCTTAAGTTCTGGGTACTTAACTAGCCCTGAAGTTCAATTTTGGTCTCATCTTAGTGATACTGCTGCAAACTCTAGACCTCTGATTTCTCTTCAGCCTCTATGTCCCACAAGGCAAATTAGCAAAGATTCTAAGGGCAAAAGCATTAGCAAATTCAGGACTCGCCCTCTGTTTTTCCTTTTTCTTTGAGATCCTGGCCTCTCAACTTTCAGTTACCTTGGTTATTGTCTGATGGCTTCAAACAGCTTTTATTTTGTATTTTACTGAGATTTTATATTTGGTCTCAGTGGAGGGTCTGTCTAATTCTAGGGAATTTGGATTAAATTTATCCTACTACTTTCTTAGCCAATAAGGAAGTTGAAATCAACCTTCAAATAAGGCAATATTCTGTCCCAGTTTGCCTGGGGTGGTTCTGAGTTATATCTCTTATCCCAAAATAATTACTAATTATAACTGGTGCCCCCTTTCACTCTCAAAAGTGTCCAGTATGTGCAATAAATTACGTGATTTTCCACCTCTAAAGATGATTGCACCTTCTCCCTGCTTCGATTAAAATAACTATTAAATAATTACTTAATTTGTAAAACTGAAGAATGTTATATAACTAACCAATAAAAGAAAACAGGGTTTCATTTATATTACCTGTGAATGCTTTAGAACTAGTATTTCTTGTATGTACTTGAATATTATCTGGCACATCATTCTGAATCCAACGAAACTTTTCAATTTTTAAAGATCAAGGATATTTTCACAGTGTCAAGTAGATAATCAATTCCAATGTTGAAAAACTCATCATATCACGTATGCAAACATGAATACACATATCAGTATAATATGCCCACTCACAAAAGTCACCTATTTTTCTACATGTATAATTTTCATAGCATCTTAGGACTAGAAGAAATCTTAAAGATGATTGAACTCAGCCAACATATATATATATAAAATAATTATATATATTATATATACAATCTTCTACAGATAAAGACACTGAGGTCCCACAATTTCAGCTTAGGGTGACCTAAGTAATTCATCCAACATCACAGCTAGACAGTTATCACAGCTAGATCCTAAACTGTCTTGAGCCCCAGTCCACTACAATTCCCTCACTACATACCGCCCAACCCAGATTTTTCCGATTGGTAAACTCCTCCTGCTTCTACAATAACAAACACTTCCTGTTTCTATATTCTAGTACACAACAATAAAAGGATTTGAGAAACTTTTCCTACTAGGATATAAAAGGCAAGATATCTCCTTCTCTGAATTTCATAATCTTTTATGTTTTTATTCATTAAACTTTTGCTGGAATACCCATTGGGTAGCCCCCAAGGATTTGGAGATGCAGGTGGTTCATTAAGATTCTTTGTTTATTTCAACTGGAAGAATTTACAGACTACATGATTTATTAGGTCGCTGTAGTAGATACATCTGGTGCCCTGAGTCACATCTACCCAGCCTTATATCTGATTTTAACCAGGTTGGAATAGATAATTGAATGCATTCTCAGATCTGCTTCACCTGATGACGTCTTATCTCTAGGCCACACTGAGAATCTTTACTTTCTGCCCCATGGCCATGTTGGATTCCAGCAGGAGTTTTTTGGCTTATACATATGTGCAGCGAAAGAACAGGGAGCAACCTTAACCAATGGACAGGAGCTAATGAATAAGCACTCTTGCCGCCCCACAATTGTGTGGACAATTCTGGGAGGCATCCTTCATGCTTCTTAGGATGCTCCTGTAGAATTAAGCCCTGTTGCCCACAGCAGTAGTCTTGAAACATTATCCTCATGTTTCTCCATTTCTTCCTTTCCAGTCTTGTTCTTCTTGCTCCCTTATTCCTATCCTCAAAATCATTTTATGTGGTTTGGAGATCATTTTATGTGTTTTATGTGGTTTGGAGGAACCCAAACCACATAAAACTCAAACACTAAACTCTCCTATTTACGAAATGTCCCTATGTCAAAGCCCTCTCATCTTCATTTTCATACGTGGAGGCTACACCTCCTTAGCTCCTATTTCTATGGCATGTCTGCCCAGACAATAAAGCACAACTATGATGAATGTGTTCTATTATAGTGCCATCTAGTGGCAAGGATGAATCAAAGCTCACGGCATCTAAGTGACCAAGGTATAAGTATTAAACTTCAGCACTGGTAATTTCACATTACATGAGATAGATAGATGCATTCAGGAGCAGACAGACTTACCACAATTCCATTGAAGGTCAAAAAGATAAATGTTTGTGACAGGATATTAAAATGTTGGGATAATTTTATGATACGTAGGTAACACAAGCTAAGACAATGATAAAGATAATCAAATTTCATGCATGGAAAGGCAAAAGCTAATCACCGACAAGGTCAGGTAGAGCTTTACCTCTGTGTTTTAATTTAGCTGAGCATACAGCCATATTAAACACACAAAGTTGGTTCTCACAGTACAGAAATCCGCCCCACAGTCCGGAGTAAAGAGATCTCAGAATAGAAAACATGAGTATTAACATGAAATAATAAGAGCAGCTATCATTTAATGAGTACTTATTATGTTCCAGGCGCTTTACTAAGCATTTTATCCATGTAATCTCACTTAATTTTCACAACAACCCTATGAGGTGGGTACGACTGTTATCCTCATTTTTCAGACAAAGAAAGAAAGACTTAGAAAAAATACTAAAGTTCCCAATGTCACACACCCAGTAAAGAACAGAAAAAACATTCAAATGTAGGTTTATTTGGCTAAAAAGTCTGTTCTCTTATCCATTTCATATTACATGCTGCATCATCAATCATGACTAATTCTATGCCAAGTATGTTGTTAGTGATCAGTGTTATCTATAAGGACCTTCCATTTTGGAGACAGAGTGCTGAAAACAGTCATGGCCAAATGCCTTGCCTCAGGTCATCTAGAAATCTGTGGCCTGCCTCAATTACGACTTCTTCTTGCTCACTGTACCCTAGTCAAAACATATAGTCTTCCTCTTGACTGACTTCTGCCAGCAATTAATTTATATCCTCAAGCAAAAGATCTGATTGCCTTATCTTAGACTGTATAAATGAAAATGCTATTATAAGATTTTCTACAGAAGTATTAAAACTATCTATTCCAGAGAATTAAACTCTGTGCTATCTTCCGACAGTGAGTTCAGCCAAGTTTTGGGTGATTCAGAACCCAATGGTCATCATATATGTTCCTAGCAGTTCATACCAACACAAGAGATGGATTTACCATCGCAGGGCAGAGGAGCCTGTCATAAGAGATAGAATCTCCCCAGATACGAACATGTCCCTCTTCTTAATAAAGAGGAAGGCCGGCCGGGCACGGTGGCTCATACCTGTAATCCTAGCACTTTGGGAGGCTGAGGCAGGCGGATCACGAGGTCAGGAGATTGAGACCATCCTGGCTAACACGGTGAAACCCTGTCTCCACTAAAAAAAAAAATACAAAAGATTAGCCAGGCATGGTGGCGGGCACCTGTAGTCCCAGCTACTCGGGAGGCTGAGGCAGGAGAATGGCGTGAACCTGGGAGGCGGAGTTTGCAGTGAGCCAAGATCGCGCCACTGCACTCCAGCCTGGGCAACAGAGCAAGATTCCGTCTCAACAAAAAAAAAAGAAAGAAAGAAAGAAAAAAGAAAAGAAAAAAAAAGAAAGAAAGAAGTCCAAATCTACGCATCTGACGAATGGCTAATATCCAGAATCTACAAAGAACTTAAACAAATTTACAAGAAAAAGACAACCCCATCAAAAAGTGGGCAAAAGACATGAACAGACATTCCTCAAAAGAAGACATTTATGCAGCCCACAGACACATGAAAAAATGTTCATCATCCCTGGTCATAAGAGAAATGCAAATCAAAACCACAATGAGATACCATCTCATGCCAGTAAGAATGGCGATCATTAAAAAGTCAGGAAACAACAGATGCTGGAGACGATGTGGAGAAATAGGAATGCTTTTAATCATTGTGGAAGACAGTGTGGCGATTCCTCTAGGATCTAGAACTAGAAATACCATTTGACCCAGCCATCCCATTACTGGGTATATACCTAAAGGATTATAAATCATGCTACTATAAAGACACATGCACATGTATGTTTAATGTGGCACTATTCACAATAGCAAAGACTTGGAACCAACCCAAATGTCCATCTATGATAGACTGGATTAAGAAAATGTGGGACATACACACCATGGAATACTATGCAGCCATAAAAAATGATGAGTTCATGTCCTTTGTAGGGACATGGATGAAGCTGGAAACCATCATTCTCAGCAAACTATCACAAGGACAGAAAACCAAACACCACGTGTTCTCACTCATAGGTGGGAATTGAACAATGAGAACACTTGGACACAGGGCAGGGAACATCACACACCGGGGCCTGTCAATGGGTGGGGAGCTGGAGGAGGAATAGCATTAGGAGAAATACCTAATGTAAATGACGAGTTGATGGGTGCAGCAAACCAACATGGCACATGTATACCTATGTAACAAACCCGCACATTGTGTACATGTACCCTAGAACTTAAAGTATAACAAAAGAAAGAAAGAAAGAAAGAAAGAAAGAAAGAAAGAAAGAAAGAAAGAAAGAAAGAAAGAAGGAAAAAGAAAGAAAGCAAGCAAGCCAGGCACAGTGGTTCACACCTGCAATCCCAGCACTTTGGGAGGCCAAGGTGGGCGGATAACCTGAGGTCGTGAGTTCGAGACCAGCCTGACCAACATGGAGAAACCCCATCTCTACTAAAAATACAAAATTAGCCAGGCATGGTGGCGCATGCCTGTAACCCCAGCTACTCGGGAGGCTGAGGCAGGAGAATCACTTGAACCTGGGAGGCGGAGGTTGCAGTGAGCCAAGATCGCACCATTGCACTCCAGCCTGGGCAATAAGAGCGAAACTCCGTCTCAAAAAAAAAAAAAGAAAAAGAAAAAAAGAAAGAAGAAAAAAAAGCTTCTAGATCCTGTTGAACAACCATTAGCACAATCTTGGATGAAATATGTAATCTTTCTGAGAATTAGTTTTTCATCTTTGATAAGAAAAACGAAACTAACTTCACAGACTGGTGGTGAGGATTCATCTACACAAATAGCCGAGAATAATACATCATACATAGTAATGCTTGAATGTTTTCTCTCTTCTTATATTTTTTCTTTGTTTCATAAAGAATTTGAAGTTACTTATAAAAATAATTTCACAAAATGTTACCTATCTTCCTCCTTCCTCTGGTCCAATAAAGACAAATTTTTGCAGCAAGTTGAACACTGGAGACCTATAGGGCTCCAGAAATAAATACTTTTGAAATATCTGGGCTTGCCAATAGAGGACAATTTAGCAATATCTAACAACTTACAAATGCAAATGCTGCTTGATCTAGCAATTTCACCTGTGGGAATTTATCCTAGAGATAATTGATTTATGTATAAGCCTATTCATTGCAGCATTAATTTTAATAGGAAAAGATTTTTTAAAATCTAAATGTCCATCAGTATAGGATTGGTTATATAAATTATGGTTCATGGTATTCCATATAAGGAAATAATATGCAGCTTGAAAAAATTCCTGGATATATTTCTAAGTGAGAAAAGCACAGTACAGAATATTATGTATGATATACTACCATTATATGGAAAAGGGGGAGTAAATGAGTATACATTTATATTTGCTTGTACACATGCATAAAGAAACTCTAGAAAGACACCCCAAAAATGTGTGTTTTCTGGTGGGCAGGGGGAAAACTGGATCCGTGGGTGACAAGGGTAGAAAGGAGGTTTTTACTCTATTTCACTTTTTGTTAAGCCAATGCAAAAATTGAAGAAAATAGTTGAATTTTTCAAATGTTTAACTTGGCTTTTATCTAAGTTAAAAATGAGATAAGAAGAGCATGAAGTATGCCATCTTATTCCACATAGCTTCTAATAGACAAATAGAGGTACTGAGTCGTAAACTACTAGATTTTTTCCATGTAAAGATCATCATCACATCCTGGAAGCAGAGAGCTATCCATATCTATAACTATTTCCACTATTTCTATTTTGATCACTATTTGATTTTTCTGATGCTCTTCCAATAAGAGAATAATACAGTAGCTATTCATAGGTCGAACATAGTTTCACCAGTGACTTCTAACATAATGCTAACACATGCCACATGCCCTTTCGCTCCTCCTAAGGCAAATGTGTGACCCTTAATTTTGACTATGAATCACATTACTAATTTTTGAAAATATCAAAATCTTACACTTATAATCAAACAGAACTCAGAGAACCACAGGGTAAACACTCTACTTACAGAGTTTTATTTAGTGAGTAATTACTTATTTAAACTCTTCTTTTTCCACTTCATGTGTATCACTCCAGCGAAAGGAAAATTAATTCTTTCTTTTAGAACATTGGAGATGGTCATTCCCTGACTTTTATAAATATACATTCACCAATATGACTTAAAAATGTTAAAAACTGACTTATTGATTTCCCAAATCAAATTTGCTACTATCAAAGTATTCCCCCCGGCAGTACATCTCACTACCATTCACCTAGTTGCTCAGGCCAAAAACCTTGGAGTCAACCTTCATCACAGTCTTTCTCTCACATTCCACATACAATCTGTCAGCAAAATTTGCCAGGTCTTTAATAAAATATTTTTAAAATGGTAAGGATTTGGAAATGAAGCCATATACTTCTAAATAACCCATGGGTCAAAGAAGAAATCTCAATATATATTAGAAAATATTTCAAATCAAAACATAATTAAAATGCATGAAAATTGTGGGATGCAGCTAAAGCAGTGCTAAGGGGGAATTTATAGCTTTAAATGATAATATTAGTAAAGAAGAAAAGTATAAAATCAAACATTTACATTTCCATCTTAAGAATCTAGGAAAAGAGCAAACTAAATACAAAGTAAATAGAAAGAGGGAAATAATAAAGAAACTAATTATATAGAAAAATTAAAAAACAAGTCAGTTCTGTGTAAAAGTTAATCAGATTGATAAATCCCTGACAAGACTGGTCAAAAATAAAGCCCAGAAATTATTGATATCAGGAATAAAAGAAAAGTTACCACAAAATTCCTAAAGACATTAAAAGAATAAAAAGGCAATTTTACTAACAATTTCATGCCTATAAAATTGACAAGTTATATGAAATGAACTATTTTTTTAAAAAACACAATTCATAAAAATTGATTAAAAAAATATAAAAATCTGAATAGCCCAATATCTAATAAAGAAGCTGAATTTGAATCCATAATAAAAAATCTTCCCACAAGGAAAACTCCAGGTCCAGATGATTGTGCTGGTGAATTCTATCAAACATTTAAGGAAGAAATAATAACAATCTTAAACAAACTCAGAAAATAAAAGAGGAGAGAACACTTTGCAACTCATTTTATAATGCCAGTATTAACTCTGATACTAGCCTAGCAAAGATATTACAAAAAGATAAAATCACAGGTGAATATCCCTCATGAGTACAGATGCCAGAATCATCAACAAAATATTAGTAAATTAAATCTAGGAATACAAAAAAAATACATTCTATATTATGACCAAGTGAAGTTTACCTCGGCAATGAAAAGTTCATTCAATATTCAAGTAGCAATCAATTCAATGTAATTCACCATGTTAACATTGAGATAAATCAAATCATCATAATAAATACACAAAAATCATTTGATAAGTAAAGCACTCAGAAAACTACTAGAAGGGAAATTCGTCATTTGATAATGATGTCTAAGAAAAACATACAACTAATATTATACTAATTGTTAATCTATGAAACACTTTATCCCTATGATCAGGCACAAAGCAATAATTCTCACTCTCACCAATCTTATTAAACATACAACTGGATATCCTAGTAAAATAAGGCAAGGAAAAGAAATAAAAAGCATAGAAATTGGAAGAAATAAAATAGTATTTACAGGTAACCACATTGTCTACACTGAAGATCAAAAGCATCTTTAAAAAACAAAAAACTACTAGCATTACTGATGTGGTTTGGATATTTGTCACCTCCAAATCTCATGTTGAAATGTAATCCCCAGTATTGGAGGTGGGACCTGGTAGGAGGTGTTTGGAGCCTCAGGGCAGATCCCTCATGAATGGTTTAGCACCATCCCCTTGGTGATGAGTAAGTTCTCACTGAATTCATGCCAGAGATGGTTGTTCAAAAATGTATGGCACCTCTCCCGCTCTCTTGCTTTCTACATGCCTGCCCCTCCTTCACCTTCTGCCGTGGTTGCAAGCTTCCTGAGGCCCTTGCGAGAAGCCAAGGTGATGCTGATGTCATGCTTGTATAGCCTGCAGAACTGTGAGCCAATTAAACCTCTTTTCTTTATAAATTACTTGGTCTCAGCTGGACACAGTGGCTCACACCTGTAATCACACCACTTTGGGAGGCTGGGGCAGGTGCATCACTTGAGGTCAAGAGTTCAAAACCAGCCTGGCCAACATGGTGAAACCCCATCTCTACTAAAAATACAAAAAATTAGTGGGGCGTGCCTGTAATCCCAGCTACTCGGGAGGCTGAGGCAGAAGTTGCAGTGAGCCGAGATTGCACCACTGCACTCCAGCCTGGGTGACAGAGTGAGACTCTGTTAAAAAACAACAACAACAACAAAAAAAACCTTACTTGGTCCCAGGTATTCCTTTATAGTAATGCAAAAACAGGCTAATACAATTAATAAGTGAATTTAGTAGGACTGCAGGACACAAAGTCAATATACAAAAATTAATTGCATTTATACTAGCAACAAATAATCAGAAAATGAGATTTTGAAATGTTTATAATAACATCAAAAATATACACTGAGGAATTAATTTTGACAAAAAGGAGATTCTTTACACTGAAAACACAACTCAGCTGAGACAAATTAAAGAAAACATAAATAAATGGAGAGACATACCATCTTCAAATGAATCTACAGATTCAGCACAAATCCTATCAAAATCCTATCCAGATTTTTTTCTGTAGAAATTCACACAGTAATTATAAAATGTATTTAGTGCCAGGAGTGGTGGCTCATGCCTGTAATCCCAGCACTTTGGGAAGCCGTGGCAGGTGGATCACTTGAGGCCAGGAGTTCAAGACCAGCCTGGGCAACATGATGAGACCCCCGTCTCTACAAAAAAATGGCCACATGTGGTACACACGCTTGTAATCCCAGCTACTCAGGAGGCTGAGGCACAAGAATTGCTTGAACCCAGGAGACAGGGGTTTCAATGAGCTTAAATCGCCCCACTGCACTCCAGTCTGGGCGACAGAGTGAGACTTCCATCTCAAAAAAATAATAATATAAATGAATAAATAAAATGTATTTGAAATTCAAAAGGGTTTAGAGTAACCAAAACAATCTTTTTAAAAAAGGTAAAAAGAAAGAAAAGCTAAATTGGAAGGCTATATTGACTAATTTTGAGACTTACTATAAAACTACAGTAATTAAGACAAATGTGACAAAATAATTAAATGGGGAAAGAATTTTTTTTTCCAACAAATTTTCCTGGATCAAACATATATTATATGGAAAAAAGAAACAAAACTCAGCTTCTATGTCACATCATACACAAAAATTTACTTGAAATGAATCATAAACTTAAACATAAAACTAAATTCTGATACTCCTACAAGAAAATATAGAATACCTTCACAACCTTGAGGTAGACAAAAATTTCTTAGACAAGACAAAACAGGATTAGTCACAATTTAAAATTAACAAATTGGACTATAATAAAATTTAAAACAACAGCTCTTCAAAAGACCCTGGAAAGAAATTAAAAGGGCAAGCCCCAGACTGAGTGAAAATATCTGAAAAAGACTTGAATAAAGAGTATACAAAGTGGTTGGGTGCAGTGGCTCACACCTGCAATCCCAACATTTTGGGAGGCCAAGGTGAGAGAATTGCTTGAGGACAGAAGTTTGAGACCAGCCTGGGCAACATAGCAAGACACCATCTTTACAAAAAAAAATTAAAAGAAAGAAAGAAATGAAAACTAAACAAAGTGCCACTGAACTGTACACTTAAAAAAATGGTGGAATGGTAAAGGTTATGTCATAGATATTTTACTACAATAGAAAAGGCAAATATAGAAAGAGAAAGAGATGACTAGTTTTGTTCACCACTGTATGCGCAAGGGCTACAGCAATACCTGGAACATGGTAGATACTTTAATTACTTAATTGAATAAATATAAGTTGTGGCCACTCTTATGACTTCAGTTAATCTCTTTGTCTCCTTCTGGCCTTTATATGTATCTCCCTCTGACTAGAAGAGTGGTTCTCAAAGTCTGCAGACCCCTGGTAGTCCATAAGATCAAAAAGATTTTCATAATACTAAGATATCTGCTTTTTCACTGTGCTGACATGGGCACTAATGGTGCAACAGCAGAGGTAGGAAAAGCTATTTGTGCCACAGCATGAATCAAGGCTATGACACCAAGCTGTACTCAAAGTTGTTGTATTCTTCACTGTCATGTAATTCCAGGGTTTTTTTAAATGCCAGTTTGACTTAAGAATGTCTTTGCCGATTGCAGCTACCAAAGAAAAAGAAAAATGAATGTCTTTGCTGAAGGACTATAAATGATTAGTTTTACTAAATCTTGACCCTTGAATACATATCTTCTTAACATTCTGTGTGACAATATGGGAAATACGTATAAAGTATGTATGTTGTGCAACAACATCCAATGGACGTCCCAGGGTGGGAAGCATTTGTGTGGAGGTTTGAGTTGCAAGATGAACTATGTGCTTTTCTCATGGAACAAAATAAAGTATGGTTATTTGGACTTGGGTGTTTGGCAGATATTTTGTTAAAACTTTTCTTTAAAGTGAACAAAATTAGCTCTTCAAAACAACTGACAGTTTCTGTTGCCAGTGGTAGAATTCAAGTGTTCTAGTACTTGAATTTTTGAAAAATCATATTCACTACTGTGAGCTTAACAATTTCCAGTACTTAAAAACTCTTCTGATAAGATTGGGGTTAATGTTTATATATGTGATTTTTTTTATTATTCAATGAAATATGTCAACGTTAGGAAGACCTGCAAAAGTCAAAGATCTACGATTTCCCAAATACTCAATGCACAATGTTGCAAAATTATCTGTAAGTAAAAAAATCCATTCAAAGTGCAAGGCAGATCAATGGATTGTAATTTAACAGCATACTTAATTAATATGTTTCAGATGCCACAGTGATACAAACCCTTAAAAAACTGCCACTTGGGGGTGGAGCCAAGATGGCCGAATAGGAACAGCTCCAGTCTACAGCTCCCAGCATGAGCAACTCAGAAGATGGGTGACTTCTGCATTTCCAACTGAGGTACCGGGTTCATCTCACTGGGGAGTGCCGGACAGTAGGTGGAGGACAGTGGGTGCAGCAAACCATGCATGAGCTGAAGCAGGGCAAGGCATCGCCTCACCCAGGAAGCCCAAGGGGTCAGGGAATTCCCTTTCCTAGTCAAAGAAAGGGGTGACAGACGGCACCTGGAAAATCGGGTCACTCCCACCCTAATACTGCATTTTTGCAACAGGCTTAACAAATGGCACACCAGGAGATTATATCCTGTGCCTTGCTCAGAGAGTCCTACACCCACGGAGCCTCGCTCATTAATAGCACAGCAGTCTGAGATCTAACTGCAAGGCGGCAGCGAGGCTGGAGGAGGGGCGCCTGCCATAGCCGAGGCTTCAGTAGGTAAACAAAGCGGCCGGGAAGCTCAAACTTGGTGGAGCCCACCGCAGCTCAAGGAGGCCTGCCTGCCTCTGTAGTCTCCACCTCTGGGGGCAGGGCACAGACAAACAAAAGGCAGCAAAAACCTCTGCAGACTTAAATGTCCCTGTCTGACAGCTTTGAAGAGAGTAGTTGTTCTCCCAGCAGGCAGCTTGAGATCTGAGAACAGGCAGATTGCCTCCTCAAGTGGGTCCCTGACCCCTGAGTAGCCTAACTGGGAGGCACCCCCAAATAGGGGCTGACTGACACCTCACACGGCCGGGTACTCCTCTGAGACAAAACTTCCAGGGGAATGATCAGGCAGCAGCATTTGCGGTTCACCAATATCCGCTGTTCTGCAGCCACCGCTGCTGATACCCAGGCAAACAGGGTCTGGAGTGGACGTCCAGCAAACTCCAACAGACCTGCAGCTGAGGGTCCTGACTGTTAGAAGGAAAACTAACAAACAGAAAGGACACCCACACCAAAAACCCATCTGTACATCACCATCATCAAAGACCAAAGGTAGATAAAACCACAAAGATGGGGAAAAAACAGAGCAGAAAAATTGGAAACTCTAAAAATCAGAGTGCCTCTCCTCCTCCAAAGGAACGCAGCTCCTCACCAGCAACGGAACAAAGCTGAACGGAGAATGACTTTGACGAGTTGAGAGAAGAAGGCTTCAGATGATCAAACTACTCCGAGCTAAAGGAGGAAGTTTGAACCCATGGCAAAGAAGTTAAAAACCTTAAAAAAAATTAGACAAATGGCTAACTAGAATAACCAATGCAGAGAAGTCCTTAAAGGACTTGATGGAGCTGAAAACCATAGCACCAGAACTACGTGACGAATGCACAAGCCTTAGTAGCTGATGCGATCAACTGGAAGAAAGGGTATCAGCGATGGAAGACGAAATGAATGAAATGAAGTGAGAAGAGACGTTTAGAGAAAAAAGAATAAAAAGAAATGAACAAAGCCTCCAAGAAATGTGGGACTATGTGAAAAGACCAAATATACGTCTGATTGGTGTACCTGAAAGTGATGGGGAGAATGGAACCAGGTTGGAAAACACTCTGCAGGATATTATCCAGGAGAACTTCCCCAATCTAGCAAGGCAGGCCAACATTCAAATTCAGGAAATACAGAGAACGCCACAAAGATACTCCTAGAGAAGGGCAACTCCAAAACACATAATTGTCAGATTCACCAAAGTTGAAATGAAGGAAAAAATGTTAAGGGCAGCCAGAGAGAAAGGTTGCATTACCCAAAAAGAGAAGCCCATCAGACTAACAGCTGATCTCTCGGCAGAAACTGTACAAGCCAGAAGAGAGTGGGGGCCAATATTCAACATTTTTTTTTTTAATTTTTTTAGTATTTATCGATCATTCTTGGGTGTTTCTCGGAGAGGGGGATTTGGCAGGGTCATAGGACAATAGTGGAGGGAAGGTCAGCAGATAAACATGTGAACAAAGGTCTCTGGTTTACCTAGGCAGAGGGCCCTGCCGCCTTCCGCAGTGTTTGTGTCCCTGGGTACTTGAGATTAGGGAGTGGTGATGACTCTTAAGGAGCACGCTGCCTTCAAGCATCTGTTTAACAAAGCACATCTTGCACCGCCTTTAATACATTTAACCCTTAGTGGACACAGCACATGTTTCAGAGAGCACAGGGTTGGGGGTAAGGTTATAGATTAACAGCATCCCAAGGCAGAAGAATTTTTCTTGGTACAGAACAAAATGGAGTCTCCTACGTCTATTTCTTTCTACACAGACACAGTAACAATCTGATCTCTCTTTCTTTTCCCCACATTTCCCCCTTTTCTATTCGACAAAACCACCATCGTCATCATGGCCCGTTCTCAATGAGCTGTTGGGTACACCTCCCAGACAGGGTGGCAGCCGGGCAGAGGGGCTCCTCACTTCCCAGACGGGGCAGCCAGGCAGAGGCGCCCCCCACCACCCAGATGGGGCGGCTGGCTGGGCAGGGGCTGCCCCCCACCTCCTGCACTGGGCGGCTGCCAGGCAGAGGGGCTCCTCACTTCCCAGACGGGGCGGCTGCTGGGCGGAGGGGCTCCTCACTTCTCAGACGGGGCGGCTGGTCAGAGACGCTCCTCACCTCCCAGACGGGGTGGCGGCAGGGCAGAGACACTACTCAGTTCCCAGATGGGGTCACCGCCGGGCAGAGGCGCTCTTCACATCTCAGACAGTGCGGCGGGGCAGAGGCACTCCCCACATCCCAGACCATGGGCAGCCGGGCAGAGACGCTCCTCACTTCCTAGATGGGAGGTGAGCGCCTAGAGGCGCTCCTCATTTCCCAGACTGGGCGGCTGGGCAGAAGGGCTCCTCACATCCCAGAGGATGGGCGGCCAGGCAGAGACTCTCCTCACTTCCTAGACAGGGTGGCAGCCTGGCAGAGGCTGCAATCTCGGCACTTTGGGAGGCCAAGGCAGGCGGCTGGGAGGTGGAGGTTGTAGCGAGCCGAGATCATGCCACTGCACTTCAGCCTGGGCAACATTGAGCACTGAGTGAGCGAGATTCCATCTGCAATCCCGGCACCTCGGGAGGCCGAGGCTGGCAGATCACTTGCGGTCAGGAGCTGGAGACCAGCCCGGCCAACATGGCGAAACCCCATCTCCACCAAAAAATATGAAAACCAGTCAGGCGTGGTGGCGCGCGCCTGCAATCCCAGGCACTCGGCAGGCTGAGGCAGGAGAATCAGGCAGGGAGGTTGCAGTGAGTCGAGATGTCGGCAGTACAGTCCAGCCTCGGCTCCGCATCAGAGGGAGACCGTGCAAAGAGGGAGGGGGAAAAGGAGGGGGAGGGGGAGGGGGAGAGCGAGAGGGAGAGGGAGAGGGAGAGGGCGTCATTCTTTCATGCCTTCTCCAGAGAGTGGCCCCAGGACTTTGCAGCCAGAGGGCTCTTTCTAAAATGCAAATCTCCAGCAGTGAGCCACTGCGCTGGAGTAATTCCAGACCTTTGTAATCCCAGCCCTTTGGGAGGCCGAGGCAAGAGGATCACTTGAGGCCAGGAGTTTCAGACCAGCCTGGCCAACACGGTGAAACCTCGTCTCTGCTACAAATACAAAAATTAGCCGGGCGTACTGGAGCACATCCATAAGTCCAGCTACTCAGGAGGCTAGGCAGGAGAATCGCTTGAACCCAGGAGGTGGAGGTTGCAATGAGCAAGACTGCACCACCGCACTTCAGCCTGGGTGACAGAATGAGACTCCATCTCAAAAATAAAAAATAAAGTAAAAATGCAAATTTCACCAACATCCTAAAGTGGGCTTTCAGTGACTCCTTAAGGTCTCGGGTCCGAGGCCCTTCCCAAGCCTGGACCTCCCAGTCCCCCGAGCCACCCCCAGCAACCAGTGTGCCAGATCTGGTCCTATAGAACCAGAAGTGATTTCCTAAACGCATGGTGGCAGCTGGAACCACTGTCCCCCTTCTGCCTTGACAAGACTCTACATGTCTACACCTTTGTTTCACTTCCTCCCAGAAGCCTTCCTGCAACGTAAACATTCTTAAAGAAAAGAATTTTCAACCCAGAATTTCATATCCAGCCAAACTAAGCTTCATAAGTGAAGGAGAAATAAAATCCTTTACAGACAAGCAAATGCTGAGAGATTTTGTCATCACCAGGCCTGCCCTAAAAGGGCTCCTGAAGGAAGCACTAAACATGGAAAGGAGCAACCGGTACCAGCCACTGCAAAATCATGCCAAATTGCAAACACCATTGATGCTAGGAAGAAACTGCATCAACTAACGAGCAAAATAACCAGCTAATATCATAATGACAGGATCAAATTCACACATAATAATATTAACCTTAAATGTAAATGGGCTAAATTCTCCAATTAAAAGACACAGACTGGCAAATTGGATAAAGAGTCAAGACCCATCAGTGTGCTCAATTCAGGAGACCCATCTCACCTGCAGAGACACACATAGGCTCAAAATAAAGGGATGGAGGAAGAGCTACCAAGCAAATGGAAAACAAAGAAAAGGCAGGGGTTGCAATCCTAGTCTCGGATAAAACAGACTTTAAACCAACAAAGATCAAAAGAGACAAAGAAGGCCATTACATAATGGTAATGGGATCAATTCAACAAGAAGAGCTAACTATCCTAAACATATATGCACCCAATACAGGAGCACCCAGATTCATAAAGCAAGTCCTGAGTGACCTACAAAGAGACTTAGACTCCCACACAATAAGAATGGGAGACTTTAACACCCCACTGTCAACATTAGACAGATCAATGAGACAGAAAGTTAACAAGGATATGCAGGTATTGAACTCAGCTCTGCACCAAGCGGACCTAATAGACATCTACAGAACTCTCCATCCCAAATCAACAGAATATACATTCTTCTCAGCACCACATTGTACTTATTCCAAAATTGACCACATAGTTGGAAGTAAAGCTCTCCTCAGCAAATGTAAAAGAATAGAAATTATAACAAACTGTCTCTCAGATCACACTGCAATCAAACTAGAACTCAGGATTAAGAAACTCACTCAAAACCACTCAACTACATGGAAACTGAACAACCTGCTCCTGAATGACTACTGGGTATATAACGAAATGAAGGCAGAAATAAAGATGTTCTTTGAAACCAATGAGAACAAAGACACAACATACCAGAATCTCTGGGACACATTCAAAGCAGTGTGTAGAGGGAAATTTATAGCACTAAATGCCCACAAGAGAAAGCAGGAAAGATCAAAAGTTGACACCCTAACATCACAATTAAAAGAACTAGAAAAGCAAGAGCAAACACATTCAAAAGCTAGCAGAAGGCAAGAAATAACTAACATGAGAGCAGAACTGAAGGAAATAGAGACACAAAAAACCCTTCAAAAAATCAATGAATCCAGGAGCTGGTTTTTTTGAAAAGATCAACAAAATTGATAGACCGCTAGCAAGACTACTAAAAAAGAAAAGAGAGAAGAATCAAATAGACACAATAAATAATGAAAAAGGGGATATCATCACCAATCCCACAGAAATACAAACTACCATCAGAGAACACTATAAACACCTCTACGCAAATAAACTAGAAAATCTAGAAGAAATGGACAAATTCCTCGACACATACACCCTCCCAAGACTAAACCAGGAAGAAGCTGAATCTCTGAATAGACCAATAACAGGCTCTGAAATTGAGACAAAAATTAATAGCTTACCAACCAAAAAAAGTCCAGGACCAGATGGATTCACAGCTGAATTCTACCAGAGGTACAAAGAGGAGCTGGTACCATTCCTTCTGAAACTATTCAAATCAATAGAAAAAGAGGGAATCCTCCCTGATTCACTTTATGAGGCCAGCATCATCCTGATACCAAAGCCTGGCAGAGACACAACAAAAAAAGAGAATTTTAGACCAATATCCTTGATGAACATTGATGCAAAAATCCTCAATAAAATACTGGCAAACCGAATCCAGCAGCACATCAAAAAGCTTATCCACCATGATCAAGTGGGTTTCATCTCTGGGATGCAAAGCTGGTTCAACATATGCAAATCAATAAACGTAATCCAGCATATAAACAGAACCAAAGACAAAAACCACATGATTATCTCAATAGATGCAGAAAAGGCCTTTGACAAAATTCAACAACCTTCATGCTAAAAACTCTCAATAAATTAGGTATTGATGGGACATATCTCAAAATAGTAAGAGCTATCTATGACAAACCCACAGCCAATATCATACTGAATGGACAAAAACTGGAAGCATTCCCTTTGAAAACTGGCACAAGACAGGGATGCCCTCTCTCACCACTCCTATTCAACACAGTGTTGGAAGTTCTGGCCAGGGCAATCAGGCAGGAGAAGGAAATAAAGGGCATTCAATTACGAAAAGAGGAAGTCAAATTGTCCCTGTTTGCAGATGACATGATTGTATATCTAGAAAACCCCATCGTCTCAGCCCAAAATCTCCTTAAGCTGATAAGCAACTTCAGCAAAGTCTCAGGATACAAAATCAATGTATAAAAATCACAAGCATTCCTATACACCAATAACAGACAAACACAGAGCCAAATCATGAGTGAACTCCCATTCACAATTGCTTCAAAGAGAATAAAATACCTAGGAATCCAACTTACAAGAGATGGGAAGGACCTCTTCAAGGAGAACTACAAACCACTGCTCAACGAAATAAAAGAGGATACAAACAAATGGAAGAACATTCCATGCTCATGGGTAGGAAGAATCAATATCGTGAAAATGGCCATACTGCCCAAGGTAATTTATAGATTCAATGCCATCCCCATCAAGCTACCAATGACTTTCTTCACAGAATTGGAAAAAACTACTTTAAAGTTCATATGGAACCAAAAAAGAGCCCACATTGCCAAGTCAATCCTAAGCCAAAAGAACAAAGCTGGAGGCATCATGCTACCTGACTTCAAACTATACTACAAGGCTACAGTAACCAAAACAGCATGGTACTGGTACCAAAACAGAGATATACACCAATGGAACAGAACAGAGCCCTCAGAAATAATGCCGTATATCTACAACTATCTGAACTTTGACAAACCTAACAAAAACAAGAAATGGGGAAAGGATTCCCTATTTAATAAATGGTGCTGGGAAAACTGGCTAGCCATATGTAGAAAGCTGAAACTGGATCCCTTCCTTACACCTTATACAAAAATTAATTCAAAATGGATTAAAGACTTACATGTTAGACCTAAAACCATAAAAAACCCTAGAAGAAAACCTAGGCAATACCATTCAGGACATAGACATGGGCAAGGACTTCATGTCTAAAACACCAAAAGCAATGGCAACAAAAGCCAAAATTGACAAATGGGGTCTAATTGAACTAAAGCACTTCTGCACAGCAAAAGAAACTACCATCACAGTGAACAGGCAACCTACAAAATGGGAGAAAATTTTTGCAACCTACTCATCTGACAAAGGGCTAACATCCAGAATCTACAATGAACTCAAACAAATTTACAAGAAAAAACAACCCCATCAAAAAGCGGGCGAAGGATATGAACAGACACTTCTCAAAAGAAGACACTTATGCAGCCAAAAAACACATGAAAAAATGCTCATCATCACTGGCCATCGGAGAAATGCAAATCAAAACCACAATGAGATACCATCTCACACCAGTTAGAATGGCGGTCATTAAAAAGTCAGGAAACAACAGGTGCTGGAGAGGATGTGGAGAAATAGGAACACTTTTACACTGTTGGTGGAACTGTAAACTAGTTCAACCATTGTGGAAGTCGGTGTGGCGATTCCTCAGGGATCTAGAACTAGAAATACCATTTGACCCAGCCATCCCATTACTGGGTATATACCCAAAGGATTATAAATCATGCTGCTATGAAGACACATGCACATGTATGTTTACTGTGGCACTATTCACAATAGCAAAGACTTGGAACCGACCCAAATGTCCAACAATGAGAGACTGGATTAAGAAAATGTGGCACATATACACCATGGAATACTATGCAGCCATAAAAAATGATGAGTTCATGTCCTTTGTAGGGACATGGATGAAGCTGGAAACCGTCATTCTCAGCAAACTATCACAAGGACAAAAAACCAAACACCACATGTTCTCACTCATAGGTGGGAATTGAACAATGAGAACACATGGACACAGGAAGGGGAACATCACACACCGGGGACTGTTGTGGGGTGGGGGGAGGGGGGAGGGATAGCATTAGGAGATATACCTAATGCTAAATGACGAGTTAATGGGTGCAGCACACCAACATGGCACATGTATACATATGTAACTAACCTGCACGTTGTGCACATGTACCGTAAAACTTAAAGTATAATAATAATAAAATAAAATAAAATAAAAGAGAAAAGCATGTTTGTTAAGATAAAACAAAAAAAAAGAAAGAAAGAAAAGAAAGAAAAGAAAAGAAAGGAAAAGAAGAGAAAAGAACAGGGCTGGCAAGTTTTTGCTGCAAAGGGCTAGATAGTACATATTTCTGGTGTTGCAAGTCAAGAAGCAAAATTGAGGCTACTATGTAGGTATTTATAAAACTAGAGAAAAAATAAAGATCCACAACATTTTTACTGGTAAAATTCAAAATACAGTAATAATTGGAACTCAGAGAGAGAGTAGAAGGGTGATTGCCAGGGGCTAGGAGTGGGGGAATGCTGAGATGTTGATCAAAGGGTACAAACTTTTGCTTATAAGATGAGTAATTTCTGGGATTCTAGAGTACAGGATGTACTCTAGTTAATAGTTAATAGTACTGTATTGTAAACCTGAAATTTGCTGAGAATAGATCTCTAGTGTCACCACCACACACACAAAAAAATAGTTACTATGTGAGGTGATGGACATGTTAATTCGACTGTGGTAATCATTTCACAATGCATACCAAATCGTCATGTTGTATGTCTTCAATATATACAATTTTCATTTGTAAATTGTGCCTCAATAACGCCAGAAAAAAGTATTATTTTTAAAAAACTGCCACTTGTCCAGTTCTGATATAATATCAGAAAAGAATTTCCACAATTATCTGAAGAGGCCTTTATTTTCAACTATGTAAATCTGTGAGGCTAGATTTTCTTATATTTCCACAAAAACAATGTATCATAATAAATTGAATGTAGAAGCAGATAGCAGAATTCAGTTGTCTTTTATCAAGCCTAGACATTAAAGAGATTTGCAAAAATATAAAGTAATACCACTCTTTTCATTATGTACTTGTTTTATAAAATATAATTATTTTCACAAAAGTATTATTTATGTTAACATGCAACAGGTTTGTTGTTTTATTTTAAAATGTAATAATAAATATTTTTTACTTTTTCAATTTTACTTTTGAAATCAGCAAATACAGATAGATATAACTCAATAAGCAAAAAATCTTTGGGGTCCTCAATTACTTTTTTAAAAATTGTCATAAAACACACGTAACATAAAATTTACTCTTTTAACCATTTTTAGGTGTACAGTTCAACGGCATTAAGTCCATTTGCAGTGTTTTGCAACCATCACCACTATCCACTTCCAGAACTTTTAAATCATCTCAAGCTGAAGCTCTATACCCATTAAGCAGTAACTCCCCATTTCTCCCTCCTTCCAGCCTCTGGTAACCTCTATTCTACTTTCTGTCTCTACCCATTTTACTCAAATAAGTGAAATCATACAATATTTATTGTGCCTCATATGAGGTACAATATAAATGTCCTCATATAAGTGGAATCATACAATATTTGTCCTTTTGTGTCTGAGTTATTTCACTGAGCATAATGTTTTCAAGATTCATCCACTGTTGTCACATGTATCAGGATTTCATTCCTTTTAAAGGCTGGAAATACTCCATTGCATGTTTATGCTCCATTTTGTTGATCCATTGATCTGTTGATGGATATTTTTGTGATTAATGCTTTGTGAATATTGATGTACAAGTATCTATTTGAGTTTGTACTCTCAATTCTTTGGAATATATACCTACAAGTGGAATTTCTGGGTCGTATGGTAATTCCGTGTTTCACTTTTTTTTCCTTTTTTCCTTTTTTCCTTTTTTTTTTTTTTGAGACAGAGTCCTGCTTTGTTGCCCAGGCTGGAGTGCAATGGTATGATCTTGGCTCACTGTAACCTCCACCTTCTGGGCTCAGGTGATTCTCCTGCCTCAGCCTCCTGAGTAGCTGGGATTACAGGTGTGCACAACCATGCCTGGTTAATTTTGTATTTTTAGTAGAGATGGGGTTTCAACATGTTGGCAAGGCTGGTCTCGAACTCCTGACCTCAAGTAATCCACTCACCTCGGCCTCCCAAAGTGCTAGGATTACAGGCACGAGCCATCACGCCCAGCAGTGTTTCACTTTTTGAGATCCTTAACAACCCTCAAGAGTGCAAAAGGGTCTGAGATCAAAAACAAAACAAAACACCAAGTTGATGACTGCTTGTCTAGAATATCCCAGCCTTTCCTGGATAACTCCTCCCTGTTATTCAAGACAAAGGCAGTCATCATCTATTAAGAAAAACATCAGGTCCAGCCCCCAGGCTGTGTTATGAGGCCCTTCTAAATGTAGCCTATGCATATCCCCATCTTTGCTTTTAGTACACTATGTTTAATCATCTGTTACTTTCTCTCTTTCCTTCTCTAAACTGTTAAGTCTTTTGAGGGCAGGATTCAGATCTCTTCCATTTGGGTGTATGCCCAATGTCTATAACATAATAGTGTGTGAGAAATATTTGTGACATATTTTTGAAATAAATTAAAGATGATTATTTGAAATGGTCTATAGAAGGATTAATAAAGAGTTCACTTGTATGTCACCTCTGCATGTCTATTAATTGCTGCCTAGAGCACTGTGTTGAGGACTCTGAGGTCATGTGGAGGCTTAGCAAAAAGGAGTTCAGGGACTAATTAGCAATACAAATGGGGTATAAAAAGATCTATTCCTAGACTGGATGATAAGTACTCTTGTAGGTCTGATAGTCCACGTAAGGAAATGCAATTAGTTTGGTCTTCAAATTTCATCCTTAATACTTTAGTCTGAAAATATGATACCTCCTTTATTAGTAAATTAAATGTGACTATGTTGCAGAATCTACTGGATAAAAAACACAAATATTCCCTCTTTTGGCCTGTATTCCTACCCCTAGATCCTGCCAAGATCAAAAGTTCCTTATAGAATTCTTCATGGATTTTACAAATACATCAATGCAATTTTATTTTAATATGAGGCTGTTAGATTTGAAATGATTCACATTATTTTCATCTAGGGACTTATTTCTTATCCGAGTAGCATTCAGAGACAAATATATACAGCCCACATATTCATTTTATTTCTAGCTTCATGTCTTTGGTTTTATTTATAAAAAGCTATGCATTGTTCAAAAATGAAAACCATTTAAATATGTATTATTACATTATTTCTGCAATCTTCCTTTTACAAATGGATAGCTATTAGAGTTAAAGAAATTACTGGCTATGCTAAAATATTAATGATGCCTCAGAAGAAAGACTATCAAGATACATTTGAATGGGGAGTGTAGAATCGGTACAGCCTACATTGCAGATAAAGAAGGGAGACATCTATAAATGAAGTGCAAGTATGTTATTATCCATGTGGGTGACATAATATGTTGGTATAACAGAGTGTTAATTTACCAAACGATTGATCCACAGGTGTTGAAAGTGGACTGGAGATGTTACTCCCAGAGAGATCCTTTCATTTGTGCTGTTTAGATTTGTTCAAAAGATTACATGGTCTCAGAGAGTGAGCTATGTACTTATCTTAAACTCACTCTGAAAGGTGGTAGAAACAATAAATGAAGAATCGAGAATTTTATTAAAATCTAGGTGATACTACCTTCATAGAGGAAGAGAAAAAGAATTCCAATTCCTTGAGGATAAGAAAAGAGAACTATGAATACTTTTTTCATATGCATATACGTGGTGAAGTGATAAACAATGAATATAATGGAAAACAATTTTGCAACCGAGGCACAAAAAAATACTACCTTGAATTTTATAACACTTTTTGCTTTTTAAAAACATGCTCACATCCCACTATTTCATTTTATCCTCCCAAGAAACCTATGAGGTAAGTAAGGCAGGTTTCATTATCTCCGAGATTTATCTAACACTCTTACCACTACTATTTTATGATAGGGTTCATGGATCCAGAAGGAAGTATTACTTGTATTGTGGCTATATCTGGTGACTCACAAGAATTGGAGAAGTGAATTAACCAGGATGTATTACGAGGGCCAGGAACACTCTTTCTTACCTTGGGACACAGATTTCCCTTATAAATATTTTACCAGACAAATTAGCAATAAACACATATCTTTTATTATATTGAAATGAGGATGTCCAGACAAACCACTTTTGACCTTGCCAGGATGGGGGATAACTCTAAGAGGTGACCCAATGACTATGTGCAACCAAAGCTCTGGCCTGTCATTTCCATAGCCCCCTTCTTAACTGTTTCTTATATTTAACCCTTTCTCTGTCCTCTAGAAGATCAAGAATCAAAAGGAGAGGATAGGAACAGCTTAGGTGAGACAATGATATTATTAGAAATTGCCCTCTGTAGGCAGAGTTTGTGTTTCTATTTAATTTAAAACTAATATATATGTATTATTTATTTCATGCCTTATTAGACATAGAAATAAAAAACATTTACTGAATGCTAATAATGGACGAAGCAGAGTAAAGAAGTTTGCATATAAAAATACTATCTTAATCTCAACGTCTGCTCTGCTATTACAGTGGATAGAAACATTGCTCTAGGGGTGAAGTGGGGTGGGCAGGGCTCACAGACAGCTCTGTTTATCAGTGTAGCCCATGCACTTATTTTGGCTAACATTCTTCTGACTGTCTGATGACTGGTATCTGTTAAACATTTTATATATCATCCCTGACATAAGTATTTGCTATTTTATTCATTTTACCTTTCTATATGCTTGATGTTCTACATACACATGTGTGTATACTTGTATATATGAATATGTACATAGTATATATATATGTATATACAAATACTGTGTATACATATATTTTTTAAATAAACAGGTATCAAGAAGCATTTCACCTTGGCTTGTAGAACAGAGGGAACTGCTGTATCAAGGAGTCTCTGCTCCAGGGCCCACTAGGTTCTGAACTCCCACCACTCTCACCAAGTTCAGATCTTTTGGGCTAACATGGCTAAGAGTCTGTCTATACTGGGTCTTAGGAACAAATGCATTTCTTCCACTGATGGCTTACTTTTTTTTGAGGCAATAAGAATGTCATGTAATATTACATAATAAGACACACAAACTTAAATTTGACAGTATTCCAGGATGCCTCTTTCAATTGTTTTACCTGAAGCTGATCAAATCTGGCCAGAAGGTATTCTTTCTCCCCTTTTCCCCAATCAGCTCAGTCTAGCTAGGCAGTACTGTTTGGGGTCCATAGTGCAGCTAGCATTGGGTTCCATTTACCAACAATTTGCTGTTCAACAAGGAGAGGGGAAAGCCATCTCCTCGCCACTCTCTACCCCCACTATGCTTTATGGCCTAGTGATTAAGAGCCTGGCTTCTGGAACCACATGAGCCTGGAAGTAAACGTGTACTCAGCAGCACCTCCCCTTTCCCAGTGACCTTAAGAAAAGTAATTTACATGAGCCTTAGTTTCCTGATTCGTAAAATGAAGGTACTAAGGACCTTCCTCAGATGGTAGTTGTGAGAATTAAACGAGATATGCTTAGGGTACGGTGCACAGCATGCAATAAATTCTCAGTAAATGTTAGGAGGGCATATGTATTATTCTGTTCTCACATTGCTATGAAGAAATACCCCAGACTGGGTAATTCATAAAGGAAAGAGATTTAATTGACTCACAGTTCTGCATGGCTTCAGAGGCCTCAGGAAACTTACAACTATGGTGGAAGGCAAAGGAGAAGCAGGCACCTTCTTCACAGGGTGGCAGGACGGAGTGAGTGCAAGCAGGGGAAACGCCAGATGCTTATAAAACCATCAGATCTTGTGAGACTCACTCATTATCATGAGAACAGCAGCATGGGGGAAACCACCCCCGTGATCCAATCACCTCCACCTGGTCCCACCCTTGGTGATTATGGGACTTACAATTCAAGGCTAGATTTGGGTAGAGACAGAGAGCCAAGCCATATCAGCATATTTATACAGTTACAAAACTGTATATATGAACTTGACAACAGGTAACTTTATGAGAGGTGAGATATACTAGTCTAAAAGCCTTATTTTCTGAGACCTTTACTAATGACCTTTACAGACAGAGCCCAATACTGACTTCTGAAGCTACATTAAAATACAATGTTGCCCTTTTATGCCTTATATAATTATTTCTTACTTCTGTTCTACTATTGTACCTCACACTCACCTGTGATTATTTTGTCCTGTCCATCATTTTGCTCTGTTTCAGAGAAGGGACACCTGAGAACAATAATAATTTAATTAGTATTAGCTGCTGCTACTCTAGTTCCTTATTCCATGGAAACGTTCTTCCATTGACGGCCTAGGACTTTCACAGTGCCAATAAAAAAAATTTTTTCAGTCCTGATTTTCCTGGATCTTCCTTCAATCTTCTCCACTGAACCCAGCTGACTTCTTGATACTTTCCCTTTCCAAGATGCTGCTCATGGCTAATTATCCTCCTATCTCTCTGAAGGTTTCTTCTCCTTCTGCTCTGCCCAACCACCAAACATTGATATTCCCACTGGGCAGCAACTTAAAAGAAAGGAATTTCTCTACGTGTTGATGTAGAAAGATTTCCAAAATATCTAATGAAATTTTAAAAACATCCTGACTTATAATTTGCTATCTAATGTGGTTTGGCTCTGTGTTCCCACCCAAACCTCATCTTAAATTGTACTCCCATAATTCCCATGTGTTGTAGGAGGAATCTGGTGAGAGATAATTTGAATCATGGGGGTGGTTTCCCCCATACTGCTCTCATGGTAGTGAATAAGTCTCACAAGATCTGATGGTTTTTATCAGGGGTTTCTGCTTTTGCTTCCTCCTCATTTTCTCTTGCTGCCACCATGTAAGAAGTGTCTTTGGCCTCCCACCATTCTGAGGTGATTCTGAGGCCTCCCCAGCCATGTGGAACTGTAAGTCCAATTAAACCTCTTTTTCTTCCCAGTCTCGGATACGTCTTTATCAGCAGCATGAAAATGGACTAACACACTATCTTACTCTATTTTCAAGTATTCTTACAATGGATATGTGTATTAGTTTCCTTGGACTGCCGTGGCAAAGTATTGAAAACTGGGTGGTTCAAAGCAGTAGAAATTTATTCTCTCACAGTTCTAGAGGCTAGAAATCCAAAATAAAGTTGTTGGCAGGGTTGGTTCCCTTTTGGAGGCTCTGAGGGAGAATCTGCCCCTTGCCTCTTCCTAGCTTCTTGTCCTTGCTGAAAATTCTTGGCATCCCTTGGTTTGTACATGCATCACTCCAGTTTCTGCCCCTGTTGTCACATGACATTCCTTCTATGTGTCTCTGTCCTTGCATGGTATCCCTCTCTCTGTGTCCAAATTTCCCTCCCTATAATGAAGACACCAATCATTGAATTAGGACCGACCCTTCCTATTCCAGGATGATCTCATCTTAACTGGCTTACATCTGTAAAGACCCTATTCCCAAATAAGGTCACATTCACAGGATCCAGACATTAGAACTTCAACATATCTTTTTGAGCAACACAATTTAACCCATAACACTATGCTTTACTTTTTTTTCTTTCAAACAGGGTCTCACTCTGTGGCCCAGGCTGGAGTGCACTGGTGCGATCTCAGCTCACAGCAACCTCTATCTCCTGGGCTCAAGGGATCCTCCCACCTCAGCCTTCGAAGTAGCTGGGACTACAGCCTCATGCCACCATGCTTGACTAATTTTTGTATTTTTTTTTTTTGTAGAGACAAAGTCTCATTATGTTGCCTAGGCTGTTCTTGAGTGCCTGAGCTCAAGGTATGTCTGCCCACTTGAGCCTCCCAAAGTCCTGGGATTACAGGCATGAGCCACCACTTTACTTTTAATTATTTTTAAATGTTAACAAAAGTAATCTGAGCAGTAGACTTTTTCTTTTTTTTTTTTTTTTTTTTTTGAGACAGAGTCTTGCTTTGTCACCTAGGCTGGAGTGCAGTGGCACAATCATGGCTCACTGCAACCTCTGCCCTGGGTTCAAGCAATTCTTGTGCCTCAGCCTCCTGAGTAGCTGGGACTACAGGCATGTACCCCCACGACTGGCTAATTTTTGTAGTTTTTGGTAGAGACGAGGTTTCACCATGTCGGCCAGGCTGGTCTCGAACTCCTGGCCTCAAGTGATCTACCTGCCTCAGCTTCCCAAAGTGCTGGGCTTACAGGCATGAGCCACTGCATCCAGCCCTGAGCAGTAGACTTCTATAAGCCATTTTCTTTTCTTCTCTATGTCTTATGTATTTTTCTTAATCTAACAAATACTACACATGCACACAAATAGAGATAAGCTATATAGATACCAACACACACACATATATTTACATATTACATAATAATTAGTACCTTGTAACCTTCTGCCCTTGGGTCATCAGAGTCTCTACCCTGGAGTCATTGTTCCTCTCTATGCATTTTGTGTTATGGCTAGAAGTCTGAGATCAGGGTGCAGGAATGGTCAGGCGCTGGTGAGAGCCCTCTTCTGGGTTGCAGATGGCCAACTTCTCCTTGAACCCTTGTATTGTGGAAAGAGAGCAAGAGCACTCTCTGGGGTCTTTTCTATAAGGGCACTAATCCCATTCATGAGGGCTCCACTTTCATGACTTAATTTCTTTCCAAAGGCTCCACCTCCAAATACCATCACATTGTGGGTTAGGATTTCAACATATAAATTGGTGGGGGGTGGGTATGACACAAATATTCAGTCCATTGCAGTGACTATATTTGGCAATAGAGCCTTTAAGGAGGTAATTACGTTTAACTGACCTAATCCAATATGACTGGTGTTCTTATAAGAAGAGAGAGAGAGACAGAGAGAGAGAAAGGATATGAGGGATGCTCACACACAAAGAAAAGGCCTTGTGAGAACAAAGAGAGAAGGTAGCTGTCTGCAGGCCAAGGAGAGAGACCTCAGAAGAAACCAACCCTGCAGGCACCTTGATCTTCCAGCCTCCAAAGAAAATACACTTCTGCTGTTTAAGCCACTAACCCTGTGCTATTTCATCATGGCAGCCCTAGCACAGTTTCATTATTCTCATGAGTTTATCTCCCGCTCTGTGCTGAAGAATCCCAAATCAACATTTCTAATCCTGATCTTTCGACATCTTCAGATGTGCTTCCTGTTGATGTATCACTTAATGTGCCCACAACAAAATTATCACTGGCTTTTTCTACTCTGACCCCATCTTGCATTTAAATACCATTTTGGGCTGGGTGTGGTGGCTCACACCTGTAATCCCAGCACTTTGGGAGGATGAAGCGGGTGGAATGCTTGAGGCCAGGAGTTCGAGACCAGCCTGGCCAACATGGTGAAAGCCTGTCTCTACTAAAAATACAAAAATTAGCTGGGCGTGGTGGCACCCATGTGTAATCCCAGCTGCTCAGGAGGTTGACGCACGAGAATTGTTTGAGCCTGGGAGACGGAGGTTGCAGTGAGTCAAGATCGCACCACCGCACTCCAGCCTGGGCGACAGAGCAAGACTCCATCTCAAAAAAATAAAAAATAAATACCACTCTATCCAAAGAAGTTCAAGCCAGAAATCTGGGAGTGCCCCCTCTCCCTCAACCCTCACATCCAATCAATCAACACCCTGCTGATTCTGTCTCATTAATATCCCTCATTCCAAGTCCTCCTCTCCATCCTACTGCCATTGCTTTCATCCAGTCACTTCTTATTTCTTACCTGTGCCACTGGAATAGCCTGCTAATTGGTCCCCCTGCATCCAATCTTGACCCCTTAAATCCATCACTTCCAAGGTGGCTAGAGTTATTTATATAAAAGACAAGTTGGATTATGTTGCTCTGCTGCTTAAAACCCTTGCCTCCCCTTCCCTCTAGTTTCTCAACCTGCACACAAGACCCCCATCACCTGCCCTATCCATCCTTTCAGCTTTATCTCTTGCCTCTCCTTGCATTTAATGCTACACTAGTAACATGAAACTGCTTGCAGATACTGGGCTCACACATCTGTTCCTCTGGTGCACCAGTCTTCCTGCCAGGAATGCCCTTTCTTCCCCTGCCTAACTTTCACCAACCTTCAAGATGCATTCCAGGTGTATCATGTCCTCCATAAAGTCTTGCTGAATCCCAGATGAGGTAAAGTGTTCTTTGTATATGTGACCAGGATGCCCTGAACACACGCATATATTAAATGTCAAATTATGTGTCTGTCTCTCTGGCTGTAAGCACCTGAGAGATAAATATCACGTATTTTAAACCATGTATCTATCTGTTGTGCCTAGCCCAGTCCCTGGCATAAAGTAGTAAAGAAAAGCTGGCAGAATGAACAAAGGAAGGCATGTATCTTACTATTCAAGAATTTCCACAAACTGTTATTTAACAAGGGAATAATAAATAACTATTTGGCGGTAATTTAATACAATCTCAAAACACTTATTTTGTATAGACCAGGGTTTCTCAACCTTGGCACTACTGCCATTTGGGCTGGGTAGGTCTTTGTTGTGGGAGTTGTCCTGCTCATCACAGGCCTTTACCCACTGGATGCCAGTAGCTCCCTACCCCCTATTTGTGACAATAAAAAGTCTCCAAACATCGCCAGATGTCCCTGGACAGGAAGGGGAGGGCTGTCGGGAGGTGGAGAGCAGTGAGATTGCCCACTGGTCTAGACAAACGCTCAATGTTGATTTTGAATTTCATAACACCTGTGAAGACAGGGACTCCCATAACATTTCATTTGGTCCCTCAGGATATCAATTATTCTTTCTAAGAACAAATCTGCCATAGTTCATCATGTTTTTAAAGGCATTTAGATCAACTATATATAAAACTTTTAAGAGTTTTTCTAATATAATTACCTTGTAAAAAGATGAGATCATGTAACTTATTGTTCCATAAAAATATAGGGTTGTTAAAAAAAAAAAAATATATATATATATATATATATATATGTTGATTCTTATTTGGAAAGGAAAGAGGCCTATAATTTAATTCAACAGCTGCTCTCTGGCTGGGAGAGAGGGAGGGAGTGAAGGTGCGTGAGGGAGGAAGAAGGAAAAGGAGAAAGAAGGAGGGAGGTTGCTTTAAAACAAATTTGGGGGATAGCATTAGGAGATATACCTAATGCTAAATGACGAGTTAATGGGTGCAGCACACCAACATGGCACATGTATACATATGTAACAAACCTGCACGTTGTGCACACGTACCCTAGAACTTAAAGTATAATAATAATAATTAATTTTTTAAAAAAAGATGCAAATTCTCAGACTCAACCCCTAGACTGCACAATTGAAGTCTCCAGGGGTGTGGCTCAGCAATCTGCATTTTAACAAGCTCTCCAGATGATTCCTGTAACTGCTAAAGTTCGAGGACCACAGGTGTTATGCATGGGTATGTTGCAGTGGAGCTGGAAAGGAATTGCTGTTAAGTATTTCAGCTGGGCATAGTGGCTCAAAACTGTGATCCCAGTATTTTGGGAGGCTAAGGTGGGAGGATTGTTTGAACCAGAAGTTCGAGGCCAGCTTGGGCAACATGGCAAGACCCCCCCCCCGTCTCTAAAAACATTATTTTAAAAAAAAAATAACAGACAATAGTGTGTGGGGTGGGCCTGGTGGCTCATGCCTATAATTTTAGCACTTTGGGAGGCCAAGGCAGGAGGACTGCTTGAGCTCAGGAGTTCAAGATCAACTTGGGCTGCACAGTGAGACCTTGTCTCCACAAAAAATAAACAAAATTAGCCGCCATGGTGGTACACACCTCTGGTCCTCCAGTCAAGAGGCTGAGGTGGGAGGATCGCTTGAGCCCCAGAAGTTAAGGCTACAGTGAGCTATGAGCCATTATTGTGCCACCGCACTCCAGCCTGGGTGTCAGAGTGAGAGCTTGTCTCTAAAAAAAAAAAAGAACAATAGTGTGTGGAAGAAGCTCACTGTTCTAGGGAAGCACAGAGTGCGAGGCAACCCTGTTACCCCATGGAGAGGACTTTCCACAGCCTATTTCTTTGCACTGAGTGTCTGATTCCACTCTTAGGATGAAATGTGCAGTCTTCTTGATCCAATATTGTATTGATTTGAAGTATCCATTCCAAGTGGCTTCCAGAATGAAGTAAAAGGACTCAAATTAAAAAAAAAAAAACAAATTTGGTGGGCTTTTTATGTCAACTCCTCATTCCCTTTGCTCTCTGCATGATTCTAACCCACTGTTATTGATCAGCATTGTCAACATTAAACAAAGAACAGTGAATTCTATTACACAGCCTGGTCAGACAAAGGTCAATCCAACATTCTGGTTGACAGAGTTTCCAATGTTCAAAGTACTCTACTATTAATAAATACACCAAACATAAAAAACTATACTAAAATATTTTGGAAATTCTTTGAGGAAAAGGGAGCACCCCCTATGTGCTAGGAACTATAAATATTTTTTAATGAGCCACACAGGCATCATCTCTAGTGTTTGAAAATATATGGTCTAGTTGGGGGTTATAAAAAGGAATGAAATAGTCACACTGATGGGAGTATAATTACAAACTGAATAAATGCTATGCAGAAAAGTATTCAAGGAACATGACCTAGACTTGAGAGAATCACACTGGGGTTGAGATCTGAAGAAGGAATCTAAGGCACTGACTAAAGCAGAAAGAAGAAGGGCAGCTGCAGGGGGCAGGGACAGCATGAGTAGATGCCCTGGGCTAGAGGGAGCATACCTGGGAACTGAAGAAGAAAAGAGGGGAGCTAAGGAACTGGCAAGGTGGAACAGGGCCTGGTGGGTCATGCTGACTTGGAAGGAAGGGCCGTGCACTGACATACAGTTTAATAAACCATTCTGGGCCAGGCACGGTGGCTCACGCCTGTAATCCCAGCACTTTGGGAGGCTGAGGTGGGCAGATCATGAGGTCAGGAGATCAAGACCATCCTGGCTAACATGGTGAAACCCCATCTCTACTAAAAATACCAAAAAAAATTAGCTGGGCATGGTGGCAGATGCCTATAGTCCCAGCTACTTGGGAGGCTGAGGCAGGAGAATGGCGTGAACTCGAGAGCAGGAGGCGGAGCTTCCAGTGAGCCAAGATCATGCCACTGCACTCCAGCCTGTGTGACAAAGTGAGACTCTGTCTCAAAAAAAAAAAAAAAAAAGAAACAAACAAAGAAACCATTCTGTGCCAGTCACAGTGGTTCATGCCTATAATCCCAGCACTTTTGGAGGCTGAGGCAGGTGAATATTTTGAGCCCAGGAGATTGAGACCAGCCTGGGCAACGTGGTGAAACCCCAATTCTACCAGAGAAATACAAAAGTTAGCATAGTGACGCATGCCTGTAGTTCCAGCTACTCAGGAGGCTGAGGTAGAAGGATTGCTTGAACCCAGGAGGTCGAGGCTGCAGTGAGCCATGATAGTGCCACTGCACTCCAGCCTGGGTGACAGAGCAAGACCCTGTGAAAGAAATAAGAAAAGAAAGGAAAGGAAGGGAAGGGAAGGGAGGGGAGGGGAGGGGAGGGGAGGGGAAGGGAAGGAAAGGGAAGGGAAGGGAAGAAGGAAAGGGAAGGGAAGGGAAGGGAAGGGAAGGGAAAAAGGAAAGGAAAGGAAAGGCAGACAGACAAAGAAAGCAAGAAAGCAAGAAAGAAAGAAAGAAAGGCAAAGGGAGGGAGAGAGAGAAAGAGAGAGAGTGAGAAAGAAAAAGAAAGAAAGAGGAGAGAGAAAGAAAGAGAAAAGAAGGAAGGAAGGAAGAGAGGGAGGGAACCATTCTGGCTATGTTGTGGAGAAGGAATTGATAAAGCAGGTCAGAGGGTATATTAGTCTGTTTTCACACTGCTGATACAGACATACCTAAGACTGGCTGATTTACAAAAGAAAGAGAGATTTAATGGACTTACAGTTCCACATGGCTGGGGAGGCCTCACAATCATGGCAGAAGGCAAGGAGGAGCAAGTCACATCTTATATGGAAGCCAGCAGGCAAAAAGAGAGCTTCTGCAGGGAAACTCTGCCTTATAAAACCATCAGATCTCATGACTTATTCACTCTCATGAGAACAGCACGGGAAAGACCTGCCCCCATTATTCAATTACCTCTCACCAGGTCCCTCCCACAACAAGTGGAAATTCAAGATGAGATTTGGATGAGGACACAGCCAAACCATATCAGAGGGGATGCAGGGATACTTTAGCATCTTACTCATCAAGGTCCTCGTTGTTCTTTTCAAGCATAGGCAAAAGATGTCCTGTTCTATAACATGAATGAACCTTGAAAACACTATGTTAAGTCGAAGAAGCCAGCCACAAAAGACCACCTATTGCATGATTTCATTGATATGAAATATCCAAAGAGGCAAATCCTTGGAGACAGAAACTAGATTAGTGGTTGCCAGGGGCTGAGATGAGGGGGGAAAGGGTAGTGAAGATGAAAAAATTCTAGAATTAGACAGTGGTGATGACTGCACAGCTTTGTTAATATTCTGAAAGCCAATGAGTTGAACACTTTACAAGAGTGATTTTTGCAACATGTGAATTACATCTCAATAAAGCTGTTAGCAAAAAGGAAACACTCTTATTATAGAAGAAAATGATTTCTAAATTTCCTAAGTAAACGCAAGGTTAAGAGTTAACTTCTAGAATTTTTAATTTTAGTCATGTTTTTAAAAATGCTCCTTGCATTCTAAAATTTAATTAGCTGAAATTTAAGAATATTGATATAGAGGCATTTTTAAGTTCTTATTCTTTTAAATCCCCTACTCAGAGAAGCATGAAATTTAGGCATTTAAACAAGAACAGCTGATCAGTGATTGAGAGAGAGCTTCCTAATTTCCAAATCATAGTTTTTGTTAAGAAAAGTAAAATCATTGGCCACCGGGAATTAGATCAATTGGAATTTTACTATTTTGTCAATTCAGTCAAATAGAGGATTTTAACTTTTAGCACGATTTTCATTTTCTACCCAGACAACCACTCAGCAGATATGTGATATCAATCTTGATTTCTAACTTCAGCTTCTTGTATGAATTTAATGGGGAAGTAATTGTGCAAGAATGTGTTTTAAAACACAAATCTCAACTGTCTTGTTATTACATTTACAGCTGATTACCATATCAATTGCCTTTATGTTATGCTAGAACATAACTAACACTGTTCTTTCATGGAATACAGTATAGTACAGTACAGGATTACAGGATATATGGAACAGCCTCTAAGAACTATGACCCTGCCTTAGATTTATTTTTGAACTCAGATTTGTATTAAACTTATTATCTACAACAAAAGAACTGTGTCCAGACTCTTTTTGGTGTAACAGAAAATCAAACACAACACAAATTAACTGAAAACAAAAATTTTTGGCCTACTTAACAACAAAGTTTAGTGGTGGTGCTATCCTCAGGCACAGCTGAAGATAGCACATTCAGAAGATCCCACGTTCAGGGATCTCAGGTCTCTTTTTTGCTACGTTGGTTTCATTTTCAGGCTCAAGATTATCACTCTGGTTGGTAAAATGAAAGCATCAGCTCTTCTCTCCCTCACCCTCTATTCTTAATGAGAGACTCACAGTGTCTCACGACTTCTAATTCAGCCATGTGCTTAATCATGAACCAATTACAATGGCCGGGAGAATAGGCCATGCTGATTGACTTGGGCCTTGGTCACATGTTCATCTTGGGATACAAATCCCACTGGAGCAGACAGATTGAGAGTAGTGGGGGAATGGATCCCTATAAGAAAAGCAGATATTTTTGCTAGAAGAAAGGAGAGTGGAGGCTGGCAGAGAAAACAACAAATGTCCACAGAAACTTCCAATTAAAAGACAGGCCAATAGCCAGGGCAATGGAAGGCGTACTGACAAGCGAGCTGGGGATGCGCAGTGAACCCTTCTTGAGGTATCTTCCCAGAAAATTACCCTTCTCTGAGACTTTCTCAATTTGCCTCATGAGTTGAAACACACACCTTCCACTTGTCCCTCTAAAGCCACTCTAGAAACACTGCTTTCTGTCCCAAGAGGCTGACTTGAATGGATGAAAGCAATAGGTTTTGGACGCTCTAGCATCTGGTTGGGTTTGGTGAGTGAGTAACACTGGCAGCAGAGGGAGGGAGGAACGAGGTCCCTTCACCCCTTAACCAACCATCATGACTCTTCTCATGACCTCCCTCTCTGTTGGAGCTTTCCTTCCTGGCTCTGGTAACTGCTCTGTTATAATACCTGGGGTGCTACACCATTCTTTGTGGGTTTCCCTAAACATTGCCAACAGCTTTGAAAATAATCCTTTCATTAAACCCTCTTTGAATTATTGTAATTTGAGTGCACCATCTGTTTCCTGATGGGACTCTGACAGATATGTATATTGACAGTGGCAGCCATAGTTTTATTGCATGGTCACACTATATATATTATCTCTAATTCTCACATTTATCCTGTGAGATAGGTACTACCACTCCTTATCTCACAGATGAGGAAACTGAGACTCATCATCTCTGGCCTGAACCATGACTTCTACTCTCGCCCTCTTACAGTTTTTCTCCACACAGCAGCCCAAATATTTGTTCTACAGATCTGCCAAGGCTATTCTGAGGAGCCAATGAAATAATAAGCAAAAGCACCTTAGTGGAGAACCTTACAAGCATAATATACTAGCTGTATTAGTCCATTCTCATGCTGCAATCAAGAGGTACCCAAGACTGGGTAATTTATAAAGGAAAGAGGTTTAATTGACTCACAGTTCTGCAGGGCTGGGGAAGCCTCAGGAAACTTACAATCATGGTGGAAGGGGAAGCAAACCTTCTTCACATGGTGGCAGCAAGCAGAAGTGCAGGGCGAAGGAGGAGGAAAACCCCTTATAAAACCATTAGATCTTATGAGAACTCACTCATTATAAGAAGAACAGCATGGAGGTAACCACCCCCATGATGCATCTACCTCCCACCAGGTGCCTCTCACAACACATGTGGATTATAGGAACTAGAATTCAAGATGAGATTTGGGTGGGGACACACCAAACCATATCACTAGCTCATTGAATTGATAAGTAGATCCTCTGGTCACTTTCAGAATTAGATTCCTTGTAGTTGGAAGATTTGGAGGAGATGCTGGATAAATTGAGTCTAGGGATTCAGTCCCTCTGGACTTGACTCAGCCATCATCTCCAGAAAGTCTTCATGATACTTCAAGAGGGGTGAGGTACTCACTCTGTGTTCCTGTAGTATTTATACCTAGCATAGCACGTAGCCCATACAGTGTTATTATATGCTTTCTCTTCCCAATCCCACATTCTACTCTATTATAATTGTTCATTTACACCTACCTCTTGCTAGACTACAAATTTCTAGAAGGCAAGAGCTATATCTATTATTTCTGTATTCCTAGTGCCTGACACACATCTGTAGATAAGTGCCAAATACATGTCTGTTGAATGAATAACAATATTGTTCTTAATGAAAAATCATGCCAAAAAGTTCCCTTTTTTTGGGAAGGGAAAATTTCCCAAAAAGATGGGCTCTCAAGAACAATAGCAAGGAGATTCCCTCAACAGTAAAAGATGGACTGTGATTATAGACATTACATTCCAGCTCTAAATTCTTTGATTCTGGATAATAGGGGTATAAACTAATCAGGAAGTCAATTTCTCACAAGGGTATGCATTAATAAATCTTAAACTACCGTATGTAGTTTCTACTAGCAGTAATCAAATAACATATTGCAGATAATAAGAACCAGATTTCTCATGTTGGAATGAGACTTTAGTGAAAGACTTTAGTGAAAAAACTGATATAATTCAAATAGCATATTTAATTTTGCTAATAGTATCCTACCAATGTTAATTTCCTGGTTCTGATTATTGTACTATGGTAATGTAAGATGTTAACATTAAGGGAAGATGGTTGAGGGGTAATGAAATAGTTTTTTACTATTTTCTGAACTTGTTTGTAAATCTCCAATTAGTTCAAAACAAAAGTGTCCTATGGCACATTCTTTTGAGGCCATACTCTTAGAATCTATAACATAGGTGATGAAATTTTAACAAGACATTCACTGGGGTGTAACACCGTAATGCATTACTCCAGATCACAGAATTTTAGAGTTTGGATGTAATCTTGGCAGTCACAGTCCATCATGCTGCTCTTGATGGAATCTCCTTGGTATTGTACTTGACAGCCTAAGGCCTTTGCTGGGACATCTCCGGGGACAGCAGTGTACCATTGCCCCTAAAATGATTGCTGGAAGAAGAGCTTGAATTGCTAGAAACATCTTTCTCCTCTCTCCATCAAGCTGAAATCTGCCTCTAGTTGACTCTCTGGGCCACTTGGCGACCTTTCAAATACATGAAGAGAGTTGGCACCATCCCTTCTGTGGTTTTTCTCCTTCAAGCAAAACAACCCAGTGCCTTTCCATATGACATCATGATGTTTTCTTTCTTTTTTTTTTAAGTTAAGATCATAGTTCAGGACATCATGATGTTTTTTAATAGAAGCTTCAATGCCTTGATGCAGCACTGTCCAAACTTTTTTCTTCAGCCACAGAACTCTTTGTCAAAGAAATTCTCATGTGGAATCAGCTTGTAAAACAGATAAAAATAAAATTTATCTACTGGAAGTAGCGGGTGAGGGGCCCCCAAGGACTATTTGATTCCCCCACCCTTTCCCTTCTTTAGTGGTCCTTGAAGTACAACCTTAGAACCTTCAAAATTTCCCAGAATATAATTAAACAAACCTTGATATCTTAAACCAAAAGTACAAAAGGACATGGGAACCTTATAACCCAAAGCAGGTTTGTGGCAGAAATGCTTTTCAGTACATGCCTTTACTGTCCCAAATAATACCATGTGGATAATTCCTGATGTGGCCGTTTGTCTGGCCATACATTTGATGATTGTAACAACTAAGAGGTAAGACTTGACTTTATATGTATCCATTCAAGAACCATATAGTATTGATGTTAGGCCATTTCATCTTACAGATGAGAAAACAGAGGCAGGGAGGTAAACCAAAGTCAATAGAAGTAGCAGAGCTGGGCTTTTAACCCTGATCTCTCTGACTCCAAAGCCACGTCCTTAACCACTGTGCTGTCCTGTCTTTTTTTTTTTTCAAGACAGAGTCTTGCTGTGTTGCCCAGGCTGGAGTGCAGTGGTCCGATCTCAGCTCACTGCAACTTCCGCCTCCCAGATTCAAGCAATTCTCCTGCCTCAGCCTCCATAGCAGCTGGGATTACAGGTGTGCACCAGCACACCCAGCTAATTTTTGTATTTTTAGTAGAGATGGGGTCTCACCATGTTGACCAGGCTGGCCTCGAACTCCTGACCTCAGGTGATCCACCTGCCTTGGCCTCCCAAAGTGCTGGGATTACAGGCATGAGCCACTGTGCCCAGCCAATCTCCTGTCTTTTGAAAGTAGAAAAATGCAAGGATTATGGAACCTCAGCCCTCTCACTTCACGTTCTTACCTCTACACCTGGAAATCATCCCAGAAGTGATTCATTAGGGAATTCATTGTAAACAGTCTGTCCCTGACATCAATCCTCTACAAATATAACACATATCCCTTCCCTCAGATACAGCTAAGTTTTCATTTCAACAATATCACCTTTAGCCAGGTGTGGTAGTACATGCTTATAGTGTCAGCTACTTGGGAGGCTGAGGAAGGAAGATAGCTTGAGCCCAGAAGTTCAGGGTTACAGTGAGCTATGATCACACCACTGCACTCCAGCCTGGGCAACAGAGGGAGACCTTGTCTTTAAAAAAATAAACAAATAAAAGCAAAAAAATAAACAGCATCACTGGAAACAAATTTCTCTGAGGTCCTGAGGATTAAACATTCTTAACATGGAATGCTTGCACATGGGGAAGGGTCATGTGCAAGCAGCCTCAGGCTAATGCCCAGTAAAGCAGAAGTTTGCACTAAGCCAGAGCTTCACTGTGGCTCTGACCTATGGCTGCTCTTTCCGTTTATGCACGGCAGATGCTTGGTGAGCCTCAGTCAGCAGCGTCTCTCCTCTCCAACCAAATGCTGGGCTGGGGGTCATTTGTTGTGACTGCCTGTCCCGCACCTAACCTCTGTTTGCTGATAATGGCACATTTCCTATCTGTGGGATCCCCCACCCCCACTTTACTCTCTATAATTTGGGTGAGCAGACCCCACTTTCCTACCTCTCCCCCATGGGCAGACACCTGACTGAGCCTGGATCATCAGTGTATTCCCAGTTCCATATGATCCAAGCCAGACCAATGAGATGATGAGACTCAACATCAGGACATTTGTTGGAACCACTGGAGAAGATAATCTCTCTTTTCCCTAGGGCTTCTTAGTTGTGCTGTTTTAAATATAGCAGCCATATTGTCACTGGGAGAGAATCAGCTAGAGGTCGAAGCCAAGGAAAAGAAAGCAAAGCCAAAAGATGAAAAGAGATATTATAGATTTCAGAAAGCTTCACTTCAAGCTCTACATCCAACTGTGCTAGGGGTGGATCCTTTACATTTATGTGAACTCATAAATTCCCTTTGTTTTTTAAGTAGCTCAAGTTGAAAGCAAGTCCTCCAAATTCTGTATAGAGTTTCTCTTACTTATCCTCTATAAAATTATAACCCTCACCACACCCTGGCACTCCCTAAGTTCCTTCCCTCATTTATTATTTTTTTTCAAAGCACTTATCCCATCTAACACATTATATATTTTTGTTAATTATCTTATTTACTTTCTGCCTCACCAAACTAAAATGTAAACTCCATGAAGGCAGAGATATTTTGTCTATTTGTTCATAGCTATACCTGAAATGGTGGCTGGAACATAGTAGGTACTCAAGAGATATTTACGAAATGAGTAAATGAGATAACTTGCAACCGAAAGAGTTGTAACTAATTCACTTGGTTTACATAAAAATAATTCTTGCCCGTTGTAGAAACAGCCTGGCTTAAAAAGTCAGAATAGAAACTCTTCCTGTCGCTTAACATGAAGCAATGTCTTCTCCAATTTCAAATATTCACTCAATAATCATGTATTGAGCACCCACCTATGGTAGTTACTATACTAAGCACAAAGATAAAGAAAACACAGTCCCTGCCATCCAGTAGCTCTCAGTTTGGTACCACTAGTCTCATGCAACAGCAAGTAAATGTGCATGACAGAACAGCCAGCTTGGACGTATAGACGTCAAAGGAAGCCAGGGAGTGCTGACTGTGTGTGTGTGTGTGTGTGTGTGTGTGTGTCTGTCTATCTGTCTGTCTGTCTGTCTCTCTTTCCCTTCTCTCTCCAAGTTTACAGGTTGACCTGAAAACTCAGAGTGAGGAGTCACAAATGTCTCAGTCTAGATACTGGCTAGACAAACTAGAAAGACGGAGATACATCTCAAATGAAAAGAGAGAGGTGAAAGGAAAAACTAAATTTCAGTTTCAGTTTAGGTGGCAAATAAGCCCATGAAAGATGTGTTCATGTGAAAGCGGTAAAGCAGACAGAATACCTGCTAAATCAGTCCCTCTGGACTGTATTGAAGCTATTTCTCATAATTTGAGAAGGAGTGGGGATACACATGGCAGTGAGGGAAACAGAAATCTCAGGTAAAGATTAGTCAGCTTGATTGTCAGTCTTCACCAGCATTGAACTGTGGCTTATTCAGGATCCAAGGAGGATCTAGCCATCTGGTTGGTTACCCTGTGGCCTCCTCAATGGGAATCACTTTTCTAGAGCTCTGCTGTTAGCATGACCCAGGTGCTGTTCGTCTCTGCTTCTCTTGGGTTCCTTCCTTCCTTCTTTCCTTTCTTCCTTGTTTGCTTCCTTCTTCCTTTCTCTCTTTCTTTCATAGCTTTGTTAAGGTATAATTGACATATTTAAAATTCAGTTTGAGGTTGGCACAGTGTAATCCCAGCACTTTGGGAGGCCGAGGCAGGCAGATCACTTGAGGTCACGAGTTTGAGACCAGCCTAGCCAACATGGCGAAACTCTGTCTCTACTGAAAACACAAAAATTAGCGGGGCACAGTAGTACATGCCTGTAATCCCAGCTACTCGGGAGACTGAGATAGGAGCATTGCTTGAACCCAGGAGGCAGAGGTTGAAGTGAGCCAAGACAGTGCCACTGCACTCCAGCCTGGGCAACAGAGCAAGACTCTGTCTCTAAATAAATAAATAAATAAATAAAATTAATTTTCATAGTTTGGACATATGTATATACCCACAAATCTATCATCACAATCAGAAGAATGAACATATCTGTCACTACCAAAATTTCCTGAACCTTTTTCATCCCACTCGTCTGCCCTTCCCCACCCCCCCCCACCCCCATTCCCTGTACACATGCAATTGCTGATCTGTTTTCTGCTGCTAGAAATTAGGTTGCATTTCCTAGCATGTCTTATAAAAGGAATCATACAGTCACTCCTTTTCACTGTTTTTGTTTTTTTTACCCAGCATACTGATTTTGAGATTTATCTATGATATTTTGTACGTCCATTACTTTTTACAGCTGAGTAGTATTCCTTTGTGGGGATAAACAACAATTTTTTCAGCCATTTACCTGTTTATAACTATTTAGATTGTTTTCAGTTTGGGGCTATTATGAATAAAACACTATGAATATTTGTTTACAATTTCCAAATAGACATATCCTTTCATTTTGGTTAGTAGATACCTGAAATGAGGCAGCTAAATCACTTAGTAACTGCATATTTACATTTTGTAGAAACTGCCAAACTGTTGTACCATTTTACATTCCCATCAGCCATGTGTGAGAGTTCCATCTGTTCCACACCTCCACCAACACTTGGTATGTCAATACTTGTAGCTTTAGCCATGCTAATAGGTGTGATGGTATTTACTTGTGATTTCAGTTTGCATTTTCCTAATGAATAATGATGTTGAGCATCTTTTCAAGTGCTTATCTGCCTTCCACACATCTTTGGGGAGATATCTGTTCAAATCTTTTGTTCATTTTTCTATTGGGTTGATCTTTTCTTACTAATGTGTTTTGAGAATTCTTTATATATTTTGGATATAAATCCTTTCTCAGAGATGTGATTTGCAAATATCTTCTTCTAGTCTGTGGTTTATCGTTTCATTCTCATACCAATGTCTTTTAAAGAGCAGATGTTTTTAGTTTTGATAAAGTCCAGTTTATCAGATTTATTATGGCATGTGCTTTTGGTGTTATAGCGAACATAGTTTGTTTAACTCAAGGCCACTAAGATTTTTGACTGTTTTCTTATATAACTTTTATAATTTTTGCTTTCATATTTAGGTGTATGGTTAATTTTTAGCTAATTTTTATATATGGCATGAGTTATGGATTGGTGTCCATTTTGTCATATATGAATATACAACTGTTTCAGCACCATTAGTTGGAAAGACTATCCTTTGAATTGCTTTTATCAAAAATCTATTAACCAAATATGTGTAGGTCTATTTCTGCAATCTCTATTCTGTTCTATTGACCTATTTGTCTGTCTTGGTACTAATTCCATACTATTTTGACTACTGTAGTTTTAAAATAATTTGTAACATTGGGTATTGTTTGTCCTCCAAATCTGCTCCTCATTTTCAAAGTATTTTAGGCTATTAAACAAAACAGCCTGTTGGGATTTTGGCCGAGATTGCATGGAACCTATAGATTAATTTGGAGAGAATTGTCACCTTAATAATATTGTCTTTCAATCCATGAAAGAGTATATCTCTCCATTTATTTACATATTCTTACATTTCTCCCAGCAATGTTTTGTGGCTTTCAGTGCACAAGTTTTGAACTTCTTTTGTCAAATGTATGCCTAAGTATTTAATTTTTCTAATGTTGTTGTAGTCTTGTTTTTGTCATTTTGTTAAAGTTCCTTTTTGTTTCTTTTATTTCTATTTAAGGGTAGATTTTATAAAGCCAGGCTAGCTCTTAAAGTGCTAGCTTGAGTAGTTGTCCTAGGTCAGGAATCAGCTCAATCCAATCAGCTGTTGCTGAGTCCAGAGTTACATGGCATAGATCATGCTACTTGCCTACCTCAAGGATCAGCCTAGGGTCACTGACCCTCAGTAGGGATAGCCCTTGTCTAGCCTATTCCATACACAGCGTCAAATTATCACTAACAAATTGGTAAAAGGATTTAAACCAATTATTAATGTTGAGCTTTTAGATTTTACAGCAGGAAACTTCTCTGAGGCTGTGGGGGAGGACCAGCAAAAAAGAATCTTGTACTAAAAGTCAAGTATTTATTTCTGCTGGCATCTCTTAAATACAACCATATGGTCCTAGAGGCCAGAGTGTTACAAATTCCACCTACTACAGGAAAAATCTCAATTCCTAGGAGACCATATGTCTAATGATGTATCCCAGCCCTTTAATTTACACTTTGGTCTGTCAACAACTCTGCTTTTAACTGGTCTGCTGAGCATAAAAGGCAATACAGTCCAAGGGACACTCAGAACAAATAGCAGGTATCTCTGGTGAGCTCCTATCTTTGAGGAGAGTTGCAGTTTTTTTACTAGGCCACTACCTACCAAAATACAAGCACATCTGAAGCCCACAGCAATTTTAAAGACAGGCATTTAAAAGCCAAGTTTAAACCAAATGCCACATGTTCTCACTTATAAGTGGAAGCTAAACATTGAATACACAGGGACAGAAAGATGGGAACAGTAGACACTGGGGACTGCTTGAGGGGGCAGAATAGGTGGGGGCTGTGGGTTGGAAGGCTACCTATTCGGTACTATGCTCACTATCTCGGTGACAGGATCATTTGTACACCTAGCCTCAGAGACACACAATTTACTCATGTAACAAACCTGCACATGTGCCCCTGAACTTAAAAGTAGAAAAAAAAGCCAAGTTTACCTGGTTAATTATGATGTTTTTCAGTATAATTTCCTATTCTTTGACTCGTATTTTATTTTCATTCATTTATTCATTTATTCAAGAGATATCCCTGAGAACCACTTTGGGTCTCAATGCTAGGGTGCCAGTAGGGGTGGGAAAGAATGCCAAGTTTGTAATACAGGATTCCTGCTCATAGGTAAAAGAAACACACACTAATACAGAATGAATAAAGATACAAAGTGAAATATTTTACAGCGTGATCTGTAAAATATAAGGCACTAGGCCAGAATTTTGTTAATTTATTTTATTTTATTTTATTTTATTTTATTATTATTATTTTTTTTTTGAGACCGAGTCTCGCACTGTCGCCCAGGCTGGAGTGCAGTGGTGCTATCTCGGCTCACTGCAAGCTCTGCCTCCCGGATTCACGCCATTCTCCTGCCTCAGCCTCCCGAGTAGCTGGGACTATAGGCACCCGCCACCACACCTGGCTAATTTTTTGTATTTTTAGTAGAGACGGGGTTTCACCGTGTTAGCCAGGATGGTCTCGATCTCCTGACCTCATGATCCACCCGCCTCGGCCTCCCAAAGTGCTGGGATTACAGGCTTGAGCCACTGCGCCCAGCAATTTTGTTATTTTATAGCTCAGAAGAAGAAACAGCACTATGGAGAGTTAAGGCAGGCCTCAGAGAGGATGGAGGGGCATTTGATCTGGTTTTACAGATGAACAGGCATTCCTCTGAGGTGAGAAGACACAGTCTCTTTTGCCCATCCACTTTTCCAAAGATATTAGCTGTCATGTTGGAGGGAAACTGGAGAAGAGTATCTAGTAGAGGGCTGTTACAGATTATATTTTCCAAAGATGGCCACATCCCCCATCAAGAAATGAAATTTAAGTCCCCCCTCTTAAATATGGGCTAGGTTTTGTGACTGTTTTCAACCTATTGAGTATGGCGAACAAAACACTACTTGCAAGATTAGGTCATAAAATTCTGTTTCTGCCCTTTTCACCAGAACACTGATGTGGGAGCCCTGGGCCCCCATGTAAGCACTTCCACTGCTTTGAGGATACCATGTTGTGAGGAAGCCTAACCTAGCCCATTGAGAGACCACATAGGGAAGCCATGAGACTACAGAGAGAGAAATGCGGGGTGAGCCCCCAGCAGCTCCCACCTTAGCCATCTTTTGACTTCAAATGCATGACAGACCCCAATCCAGAACTTCTCACCTGAGCCCTTCCCAAAAGTACTGATCCATAGAAAATAGGAAAGATAAAATAATTATTGTTTCTTTAAGTCACTAGGTTTCAGGGTAATAGATTACATAGCAATAGATAACCAGCACAAGGAGAGAAGAAGTAACTTGGTTATTTCATTTTTCTCATTTCAAGTCAGATAGAGATGAGCCTGAACCCATGGTGCAAAATGGGCAGTCAGGGTAAACCAAAGGGCAGGGGCAGGATCTAGATAACTAGTTAAGGGGAGAGCACAGGACCAGGCCCTACAAAGCCTAGAGGACAAGATAGAACCACCATCGAAACAGAGTTGCTCAACTGAGACCCAAAGCAGTGACTCACACACAGCGGGCAGTCAGGAACCTAGCAACTCAAATCAGGTGACAAAGTCACATGACAATAATCAAGAAGTGAAATTTGAAGACGAAAAAGAAGTATGACTTGACACTCAGTTGCGAATCTTTGGCTATAGTATTTCTCTCAACTAGAGAATCCAGAATGTTCTTGGTATCTGGAGTGGACTGGGCTATGATCTCACCTGTGTGGATTAGATGGTAACAGGATCAGTGTCTGATGCCAGACAGGTTATTTCCTTCTCTGCAGCTCTGATAACTGTCCTCCACCTACCATCCAGCAAAGGGCAAAAAAGAAGAGTCCACAACGGATGTCTAAAAGAAAATTGAGAGAAAGTAGAAGGGATCATGGATGGTATCCTGAAATAGTTTGTATTCACTAAGAAATCAAATTAGGTATGCACCCCTAATCTGGCAACAGTTATCAAAACATCCCTGGAAATATTTTTCAAAAACAGAACAGTATGCAAACATGTAAGTAACATAGAAGAATGACGACTCCAACAATGTTCACAACAGCTACATCCACAGCTGAAAAGAGAACAACCAACAATCTAATTAAACAACAGATTAACTGAATTGCAGAATACTATGCAGTCTGATTTGTCAGGCTTGGTTTGGTTTTGTTTGCTCTTAAGATGGGGTCTCACTCTGTCACCCAGGTTGGAGAGCAGTGGCATGATCACAGCTCACTACAGCCTCTACTTCCCAGGCTCAAGCATTCTCCCACCTCAGCCTCTCCAGTAGCTGGGACTACAGGTATGCACACCCCCACACTTCCTGGCTGATTTTTTTTTTTTTTTTTTTTTTTTTTTTAGAGATGGGCTCTCACTGTGTTGTCTAGGCTGGTCTTGAACTCCTGAGCTCAGGTGATCCTTCCACCTTGGCCACCAAAAGTGCTGGAGTTACAGGCATGAGCCACCACACCCGTGTTTGATAAAATGAACGAATATTCCTGAGATTTTTTTTACTTGAAAAAAAAGCTTCTTAAAAGCAAGGTTCTAGTTCTCCGTATCTTTAAACATGTCTGTAACAATTCCTGTGGCAGCAGGGCCTCAAGAAATGTTGGTTGGAGAAGTGAATTCTATAGTTCACTTTCAGTGAAGACATTCTTTGTGCTAGGCTTTAGGTTCTTTCTACAGGTAAATCTATAGGAGTTAGCAACTAGTCTCATCTCTGTTTTGCAAAGGTGAAAACAGGGGCAGAGTGGCAAGTGGTAGTGCTGGGACAGGAAGGGACAGGCAGCCTGGCTCCATGCACTGTATAGCCTCTCATACTAGATGACTCTAAAAACAAGTGATCTGAAAAAATGTCATAAAACTAAAATTTAGTTTTTTCCTTACCAAGACCTTACCCACACACCATTAAGAAAAAAATGTTGCCTGTCCAACGTAGTGAAAACCCCTTCTCTACTAAAAATACAAAGATTAGCCGGGCCTGGTGGTGGGTGCCTGTAATCCCAGCTACTCGGGAGGCTGAGGCAGGAGAATCACTTGAACCCGGCAGACAGAGGTTGCAGTGAGCCAAGATCGCGCCATTGCACTCCAGCCTGGGGGACAAGAGCGAAACTCTGTCTCAAAAATAAAATAAAATAAAATAAAATAAAGAAATGTCGCTTATTATATCTCATGATTATTGATAACAAACATTCCAGTACTATGGGCAAGGAGAATGGAAGCAGATTCCAGAATTAAGGGAGAGAGGGGAGGGACCCTAGGAATATTCTTTATTAACAATATTCATGTTTTCAGTGGCCAGAAATAAAGAAAGCAAACAGGGAAAATAAAACAGGAGAAAAAAAGGAAAACAAACTTGTCATTAGGTAATTTGGAATCATTATATAGGAAAAAAGATATCTGTAAAAAATAGTTTAGTGTATTATTCTGAGGTCTTCTACTTCTGGATCTATTTTATCTCCCTATCTTGTATGCATTTGTTTCAGCACCTATTACATGGGCATAATTCGTTTATAAATTAACGTAGGCCTGTTGAGGAAATTTTAAAAAATCTTACCATCAAGAATTAAGATGAAATGAGAAGAGAGAAATAGCTGATCACCTCCTTCTCAAGGGATTCTGTCTCATGCTGTTTCTCAGCTGTTTCTAGCCTTGAGTTATACCCCCAACTCTGAAACAGGATTAATACTACCTGAATTTACCATTTGAAATGGGACCGGTGATAGCAAGTCCTTATTTCCCTCGCACACCTCCCCTTTTCTCTGACAGCACGGGAATTCGGACTGATTTGAAGTGTGGGCGGTGGGAGAGTGGGAAGTGTTAACCAAAATCTCTCCTCCCCCAACTTCTGCATGGCGCTACTGCATATATTATGCCCCCCTGCTGCTCACCATACCGTCCAAGCCAAGAGCATACAGAGCTTCTTGATGTGCTTTAATTCATTTCTCCCTTCACTCTCACACTCAAAAGGAAACGGGTAAGGTTAGGTAAAATTGCTACTTAATGAGGGGTTACTGAGTGTGTAATTGCTCCCAGAGTGTTTTTAGAGTAATAGTCCGCTGGTAGGAGCCAAGCTTGCTATAAAGAATCTTGCTAAACTGCCCAAAGATTGTAATTCCATTCACTGGTGGTTATTTGAGTAACATACCAAAGACTAAGGAGCATCATTTATTAAAAGCCCTTTGCGGCCGGGCACGGTGGCTCACACCTGTAATCTCAGCACTTTGGGAGGCTGAGGTGGGTGGATCACTTGAGGTCAGGAGTTCGAAACCAGCCTGGCCAACATGGTGAAACACCATCTCTACTAAAAATACAAAAATTAGCTGGGCCTGGTGGGTGGGTGCCTGTAATCCCAGGTCCTTGCGGGGCTGAGGCAGGAGAATCGCTTGAACCCGGGAGGCATAGGTTGCAGTGAGCTAAGATCGGGCCACTGCACTCCAGCCTGAGCCACAGAGCAAGACTCCGTGTCAAAAAAAAAAAAAAGTCCTTTTCTCTCACCTCATCTCAAGCAGTTCAGCAAATTCAGACGTTCAAGGTTTCCATCCTTGAGTTGTGGAGTGATGGGTACTGAAGTCAGTGCTGAGGTGCCTCTAGAAACTTCCTTCCAGCTGTAGAATTTACTAGGAAGTAGATGCATTCTTTGTCAGCGTTTTTTAGACAGAATCACTACACTATATTATTTTTTTAGAGCTTAAGGGAGCTTAGGATCATGATTGCATTCGTGTGCCCTATTTCACAAACGAGGTCAGCTAGCTGGGAGGACAGTTAGTTCGGCTGACTGCTAGCCTACTGCTCTTACCATTTTCTCCCAAGACAGAGGCATGGCATAACCTGATCTGTAATGAGGTGGCCCAGGAGGGATGGGCACACAGTTGGCATTGACAGGTAAGCTTCTGCTCACGTTCTCACTTGGTATTCATGTTTCTCTTGGTGGAAACTCTGCCATTTTTCCATAGTCCTAGAGTTGGTGTGAGGTTTGTTTTTATTTTATGTTTTCTCCCACCTTATAGCTTTCAAATCTTTCCCTTCAAGGCTATGGCCCAAATGTGCCAGGGGAAGACTGTCCAAACCTCCGTTTTCCCACAGAGGCTAGCGGAAGCCATGCAGGGCTGTCATTAGACTCCCTGAGCCGTGGTTAAATTACCTGAGGAGCGGTGCCCACTCCGGAAGTGGGTGCACTTAGACTTCCGTTTGTTTCCTCAAATCCGGTCATGGGATTTTTCTCTTCCTCAGAGAGGCAGCGGGATCCATTACTTCCAGTTCACCGCTTTCCCAGCACCATTTCAAATGCGCTTTGGTAAGGAGAACAAAGACAATGAGACCTCTTGGTATGCCTGCGTCTCCAGGTTGGGGTGTCTGTGAAAAAATCTCGGGGTTCTGTGGACTCTCCAGTCAGTTTCTGTGGAGTCAGAGTTAGGGGTAACCCTCGCCCTGGATCTTTGCAATTAATTTAGAAACTTGGAGAGATTTTTTTGCTTTTGGATTTTCTTTTTTTCCCCTGGGGCCACCATTCTGGGAGTTTATTGCCTTCAATTAAGTCTCTCTGCTTGTTGTAGGTGAATTACTTTTGCTCATTTTTACCGTAATTTACTCTTCAGACCCTGGGGAAACAATCGGCTCCAGGCAGCCATTTTCATCACAGCATCATTCACAAGAGAAATAACATCATCATGTGCCTGATAAAGTACAATAATATCATCTCTTGTATCCATTTTGTGAACTATCCACAACATTTTTAATCCTTTTATGTAACTTACTGTGACTCAAGCTACCACCTATGGGAATGTAAGCTCACTGGGGGCTCGCTGGGGACCTCCTCTTATTTGCCACTTTTTCCCAGCAGTATGTACAGTGCCTGGAATGTGTGGGCAGTTCACAAGTTGGTCGAATTAATAATAGACAAGTATTCGGGTTACATTACTAATTATTTTTAAATCATATGGAGTATGAAATTTGAGAAGAGAAGTAAGTGGTCTGGTGATTTGGCTTACACATTTCACCACTCACCTTTACTAAGATGGAAAATTAAATGCTATCTGTAGGTCCACAGTCAGAAAGAAAAAAAGTGATAAATAAGGACAGGTTGGAAAGACTTATGAACTAGCATTATAACGGTTCTCTCAAAGCTCTTTAAAAAAAACACACACACACACACACACAGTTTTGCACTGTTGCACATGCTAGAGTGTAGTGGCACCATCTCAGCTCACTGCAACCTGAGCCTCCCGGTTCAAGCAATTCTCGTGCCTCATCCACCAGAGTAGCTGGAACTACAGGCACGCGACACCACGCCCAGCTAATTTTTGTACTTTTGGTAGAGACGGGGTTTCGCCCTGTCGGCCAGGCTGGTCGCAAACTCCTGGCCTCAAGGAATCCGCCCACCTACACCTCCCAAAGTGCTGGGATTACAGGCGTAAGCTCTTGGCTCACACTGAAGGCTCTTTTGATTATCAGCAGCACACCCTACTCAAAGTAACTCAAATGAAAATGGAAGGTGAGAGTTAGTTGTAATGCTACAGCAACCTCACAGACACCAAAAAGTAGAAATGAAATTTAGTTGGACATTATGCAAACCAGAGCATGGCGAGCAGAATAACCAAGATTTCTCTGAGCAGAATAACCAAGATTTCTCTATGTGGCTTTTCTCATTTATGCATCTCAGAGTCAGGTCCTTCATCTTTCTCTCACCTGCCTTCCTCTGCCTACTCATCTTACATAACATAGCGCAGCAGTGGTAACTTCAGATCCTAGGTTACATGACTTGTCTACTCTAGTGCCCATCTTTGATGATAACCTCTCTGCATGAGCATCTAAGTAAACTTATGTGACTTTGAGAAGCGCTTTAGAAGTCATAGGTAGGTAGCCAACCAATGCAGTGGTCACCTTTGAGTCAGGTGTCCATCTCCAGACCAACCTCCAGTGGCTGTGGTCATGGAAGGAGGTGGACATATTATTTAGAAAGCTTCAAGGATAAGGCCGACAATGAAATACATCTAGTACTTTTGTATCGCTGATAGTCTATGAACTCCTTGGTGTTAAGGATGTTGTTTCATTCTTCTTTGTTACATGTGGTGCCTAGTATTGGGGCTGGTACATAATAGATATTCAGCAGTTATCTGAAGAACACTAGAATGATGCATGGCTGAGAATGAACGCCCACCAAACTCTTATGGCATACCATGTCACACACACATGTAAGAATAATTATAAACAAAAAGACATAAATAACAAGTGTTGACAAGGATGTGGAGAAACTAGAACCCTCATACATTGCTAGCAAGTAGATAAAATAGTGCAGCCTCTTTGGAAAACAGTGTGGAAGTTTCTTAAAATGTTAAACATAAATTTACCATATGACAGTAAAAATCACTCCTGGGTATCTAACCAAGAGAACTGAAAACATGTATACATAATGGCTTGCACACAAATGTTCATGCAAGCATTATTCATAACAGTTGAAAAGTGGAAGCAACTCAAACATCTATCAGTTGGTGAATGGATAAACAAAATGTGACATAGTCATACAATGGAATACTATAAAAATGAACTAAGTATTGACAAATGCTAAAATGTGTGTGGACTCCAAAACTATTATGTTAGGTGAAAGAAGCCACATACAAAGACCACATATTTTGTGATTCAATTTATATAAAATGTTCATAAAAGGCAAATCTACAGAATCAGAAAGTAGACTAATGGCTGCCTGAGGATGAGTGTGGAAACAAGGAGTAACTGCAAATTGGCATCTCCTTTGGGGTTAATAAAAATATTCAAAACTTAGAGTGTTGTAATGGTCACACAACTGTACATTACTAAAAATCATTAAATTATACACTTAAAATAAGTGCATTTTATGATTTGCAAAGTATACCTCGATAAAGCTTTTTTTAAAAATCTATGGGATTGGCAGGGCACAGTAGCTCATGCCTGGTAATCCCAGCACTTTGGGAGGCTGAGGCAAGTGGATCTCTAGAGCCCAGGAGTTTGAGACCAGCCTGGGCAACATGGTGAAACCCTGTCTCTACTAAAAATACAAAAAAATTAGCTGGGTATGGTGGCACACGCCTGTAATCCCAGCTACTCAGGAGGCTGAGGCAGGAGAGTCACTTGAACCTGGGAGGCGGAGGTTTTGCAGTGAGCTGAGATTGCACCACCGCACTCCAGCCTGGGAGACGAACTGAGACTCTGTCTCAAAACAAAGAAACAAAAAACCCTTAGCCGATCCTTAAGTTTACTTTCCCACTGTTTTCTGAATATACCCAATCCACTGTTAGTTTCACATTCTCCATGCAATCTAGTTTGTGCCAGTATGATCCTAGCAAAATCAGGGAGGTCAACCTATTCATTTTGGCTGATAAAAAGCAAGTAAATTGTGTCCAATTATCACCGGCCATAGCTAAGATAGTATTGATTGTGTTAGCCTCTTCTTTATCTTCATGGCCTAGATGACCAGTAAAATGAATTCCCACAATAAACATAAATTATTTATCTGGGGAGGTATTACATACTGTTATTATATGGGCCATTCGCTTGCCCAAGAAAATAGAGCCTGCTGGTCACTTTAGGCATCCATAAAAACTATAATGTCATTGCCCAATACAGGATGTATTATCAGTGCATGGGAGTGCTTAATGTTACATTCTTCACCAATACATATTGTGATGCTTTTATAATCTCTTTAACATAAATAATATTTCCATGTAGTTAAGGCTAAACATGACATAAAGATACAAAACAGTTGTAGAAATGGTCAGAATATTTCTCAGCTACCAATATCCTTTTTCCTGAGTGGTAAAGAGAGGATATTGTTGAAGAGATAACAATTTTTAAAAATAACTGTATCAGATCAGATCTTTGTATTTTATAGACATTTTTCTGATTCGAGAAAAAATTACTCTTATGCATTCAAGTGGCCCTAACTCCATCCTTGCCACTCACATGGTGCTTGAAAACGTCTTGAAGTAAGGAATCACCCAACTACTCTCCCTTTCTACCCTTTTCCAAAGAGACTTCTGCTCTAAAACAAATTTTTGTAAGTTTTTGCCCAATCTCCTGGATGGATCACAAATTATGCCAGGTATGATTTAAATAAAACTAATGTCTTTATTTTTTAAAAAATCCTATGGATTTTCTAGGCAAGCTGAACGGTTAGCTAAAAAATAAATAAACATTTTAATGTGTGTGTGTATGTGTGTGTAAATGTTTCTTTAGACAACTGTTTTAGGTATTGTGATACCCTCTAAAGATTTTTTTCTCAAACTTAGCCAATAAATGTTTGATTAGCCCCTTGGGAAAACCCCTAGCACTACAAAATGTAGTTGTGGGAGGAAGGATGGTGATAGTGATAGGAAGCCAGTTACAGAGATGTTTTTAAGGTGATAGAGCAAGGCTTAGCATCAGGTAGAGAACAAAAGAATAAGCACCAAAAGAGGGTGAAAAACCTGCCAAATACTAGCCATGGTCTCTGGAAATGCACAGCAAAAAATGAGTTAAGGATTCCTAAATAGAAAATCAAATGATTAAATTGTTTCCTAATTAACCAGAGCACCTTGTAGGAACTGATTATAAATTAGGAAAATAATAAACTTGTGCATCATAAATCAAGCAGAACATATTCCTTAAGGCATGATGGATGGAAAACAATGGATTGAACTTATTAAAAGTTCACTGCAAACATAAAAAGATTTTGATTTAAAAACTGTTTATATTTCCTGCTTATCATATGACCTTCTTAAATGAAATAGATCCTGAAACACATTTTTCTTTTTTTTTTAATTTATTTATTTTTTATTGATAATTCTTGGGTGTTTCTCACAGAGGGGGACTTGGCAGGGTCATAGGACAATAGTGGAGGGAAGGTCAGCAGATAAACAAGTGAACAAAGGTCTCCGGTTTTCCTAGGCAGAGGACCCTGCGGCCTTCCGGCCTTCCGCAGTGTTTGTGTCCCTGGGTACTTGAGATTAGGGAGTGGTGATGACTCTTAACGAGCATGCTGCCTTCAAGCATCTGTTTAACAAAGCACATCTTGCACCGCCCTTAATCCATTTAACCCTGAGTGGACACAGCACATGTTTCAGAGAGCACAGGGCTGGGGGTAAGGTCACAGATCAACAGGATCCCAAGGCAGAAGAAGTTTTCTTAGTACAGAACAAAATGAAAAGTCTCCCATGTCTACTTCTTTCTACACAGACACGGCAACCATCCGATTTCTCAATCCCTTCCCCACCCCTCTCGCCTCTCCATTCCACAAAGCCGCCACTGTCATCCTGGTCCGCTCTCAATGAGCTGCTGGGCACACCTCCCAGACGGGGTGGTGGCCGGGCAGAGGGGCTCCTCACTTCCCAGTAGGGGCGGCCGGGCAGAGGCGCCCCTCACCTCCCGGGCGGGGCGGCTGGCCGGGCGGGGGGCTGACCCCCCCACCTCCCTCCCGGACGGGGCGGCTGGCCGGGCGGGGGGCTGACCCCCCCACCTCCCTCCCGGACGGGGCGGCTGGCCGGGCAGGGGGCTGTCCCCCCCACCTCCCTCCCGGACGGGGCGGCTGGCCTGGCAGAGGGGCTCCTCACTTCCCAGTAGGGGCGGCCGGGCAGAGGTGCCCCTCACCTCCCGGACGGGGCGGCTGGCGGGCAGAGGGGCTCCTCACTTCCCAGTAGGGGCGGCCGGGCAGAGGCGCCCCTCACATCCCGGACGGGGCGGCTGGCCTGGCGGGGGGCTGACCCCCCTACCTCCCTCCCGGATGGGGCAGCTGGCCGGGTGGGGGGCTGACCCCCCCACCTCCCTCCGGGACGGGCGGCTGGCGGGGCGGGAGGCTGGCCCCCCCACCTCCCTCCCGGATGAGGCGGCTGGCCTGGCGGGGGGCTGAGCCCACCTCCCTCCCGGATGGGGTGGCTGCCGGCGGAGAGGCTCCTCACTTCTCAGACGGGGCGGCTGCCGGGCGGAGGGGCTCCTCACTTCTCAGACGGGGCGGTTGCCGGGCAGAGGGTCTCCTCACTTCTCAGATGGGGCGGCCGGGCAGAGATGCTCCTCACCTCCCAGACGGGGTCGGGGTCGGGCAGAGGTGCTCCTCACATCCCAGACGGGGCGGCGGGGCAGAGGCACTCCCCACGTCTCAGACGATGGGCGGCCGGGCAGAGATGCTCCTCACTTCCTAGATGTGATGGCGGACGGGAAGAGGTGTTCCTCACTTCCTACGTGGGATGGCAGCCGGGCGGAGACGCTCCTCACTTTCCAGACTGGGCAGCCAGGCAGAGGGGCTCCTCACATCCCAGATGATGGGCGGCCAGGCAGAGACGCTCCTCACTTCCCAGACGGGGTGGCGGCCGGGCAGAGGCTGCAATCTCGGCACTTTGGGAGGCCAAGGCAGGCGGCTGGGAGGTGGAGGTTGTAGCGAGCCGAGATCACGCCACTGCACTCCAGCTTGGGCACCATTGAGCACTGAGTGAACGAGACTCCGTCTGCAATCCCGGCACCTCGGGAGGCCGAGGCTGGCGGATCACTTGCAGTTAGGGGCTGGAGACCGGCCTGGGCAACACAGCGAAACCCTGTCTGCACCAAAACCAGTCAGGCGTGGCGGCGCGAGCCTGCAATCGCAGGCACTGGGCAGGCTGAGTCAGGAGAATCAGGCAGGGAGGCTGCAGCGAGCCGAGATGGCAGCAGCACAGTCCAGCCTCGGCTCAGCATGAGAGGGAGACTGTGGGGAGAGGGAGAGGGAGACTGAGAGGGAGAGGGAGAGGGAGAGCCTGAAACACATTTTTCAAAGGCTGAGATACTGATTTTACTGCACTAATAGAAGAAAAAGGAAAAGCGAGAAAAAAAATCAGCCCAAAACATTACATGACTCAATGTCTTGGGGACATAATGGGATTATAAATAATAAGAATATTCTATACCAAATTTTTTGGCTATAAACAGAATAAAGTCTGAAATTGAGGTGTTTGTCTTTATGAGTTGATATGCAAGACATTTATCTTTATCATGGTTTATTTAAAAGATACTTGAGCTTAAAATGGAAGAGCTGGAAATAATCACGTTTTGGAAAACTAAACTAAGAAAATAGCTTTTGAATAGTGTGAGAACAAAGGAATAGGTATTCAAGAGTGTGTATGCTGTAATATTGCACTAATTTGGATCAGTAAGGATAAGGCCAGTCTAACTTAGTAAAATATGAACAGGAAAATATTTCCAAAGAAAACAAATGTATTTTTCTAGTACATGTGCCTGAAATGGAAAAAAAAAATGGCTAACAAAGTGCTGGACCTGATGTTAGAGCTGGTGTTAATTGATAAATGAGATGCATTTGTAAATGTACATTAATTGGGTTTTTTTTTTTTTTGCACCTAATCAACAAGTGTGTACATTCACTGAGCTCCTTTTTGCATGCCCACCAATGTGCAGAATACCGGGAAGGACACTAGAGAAACATAAGAGGACTTCATAAATCTGGCTTTTTTAAGGAATCAATGAATTTATTAAGTAGTCTATCCTAGTAGAGGGTCATATATTTCTAAAGTAGTCAGAGACTCCTCCATGATTACAAAAGAACATATTTCCTGAATAGCCATTGTTATGGGCATTTGTTGTTGCCCTGTACCATCATCCAATGATAACCTTCAAGAACTGTTCAGGAACAAACAGTTCTTGAAGTGTTTTCAGTCACTTTTACTCAGCATCTAGTCCAACTGCTATTGGTATGCCATCAGTAACAACCCCAATTTCTTCTAATGTACCACTTATTCTCTCATTTGTAATGGGATACCTGACCATTATTTTCATTTTAATCCTTTTGAAGTAATAATTATAATAATTAGTTCCAGGGGTACATGTGCAGGTTTATTATATAGGTAAATTTGTGTCACGGGAGTTTGTTATAAAGATTATTTCATCACCCAGGTACTAAGCCTAGTACCCAATAGTATTTTTTCTGATCCACCCTCCATCCTCAAGTAGGCCTCAGTGTCTGTTGTTTCCCTCTATGTGTCCATGTGTTCTAATTATTTAGCTCCCACTTATAAGTGAGAACATGCAGTATTTGGTTTTCTGTTCCTGTGTTTGTTTGCTAAGGATAATGGCCTCCAACTCCATCCATGTTTCTGCAAAGAACATGATCTCATTGTTTTTTATGGCTGCATAGTATTCTGCAGTGTATACGTATCATATTTTCTTTATCCAATCTGCCATTGATGGGCATTCAGATGAATTCCATGTCTTTGCTATTGTGAATAGTGCTGCAATGAACATATACATTCATGTGTCTTTATGGTAGAATGATTTATATTCCTTTGGGTATATATTCAGTAATGGGATTGCTGGATTAAATGGTAGTTCTGTTTTTAGCTCTTTGAGGAATTACCACACTGCTTTCCACAATGGTTAAACTAATTTACACCTCCACCAGCATTCCCTCCAGCATCTGTTATTTTTTTACTTTTTAATAACAGCCATTCTGACTGGTGTGAGATGGCAGCTCATTGTGGTTTTGATTTGCATTTCTCTAATGATCAATGATAGTGATCTTTTTTTCATATGCTTGTTGGCCGCATGTATGTCTTCTTTTGAAAAATGTCTGTTCATGTCCTTTGCCCGCTTTTTAATGGGGTTGAACATACATTCTTATATGACAGCTTTTATGATAACCTGCTCTGGTGGACACCAGATTTTTATCTGCTGGCATCCATTTCCCCTTCTTTTGGAAATACAATCCAAATTTTATTTTGAGGAACTTCTCGTACTCTCACTACCACAAGCCCCTACCTCAAAACACACACACTTATAGTCTATATGGATTAGGTCACTTGTCATGTGACCCAGGCTGGACTTCTTGATATATTCTATCTCCCTGACTATAGTCATTGGCCAGGGATGACACATACTTATCCAAAAAAATACATACTTATCCAGTTTTTCTGGAATTATTGGGAAGGAGAAGATCACTTTCTGCTGTGGTTACTAGCTATAAGGATAATCATGTAAACCTGGAGAAGCCGCTTGAGACTGAAGCCAATAAAAAAACCAAACCTGGAGATGGAAAAAGAGACAGAATCTTGGTAACGTTAAGTTCCCTGGACTCAGCTATACCTGAAGTCTATTACTAGACCTGTAAGTTATATTAGCCATTATAGCCTTTTTTTGTATTATGCTGTTTTGAGTTCGGCATCTGACCCCTGCAACTAGAAATACCTGCTTAATAAATATATTTTGATTTCTATAGCAATCCTCTGGACAAGATATGGGAATCCTTTACCTTTTATGCATTGGAAATCTGAGGCTCAAAGAGATTAAGAATGTTTCCCAACACAGCCATTATGTGTTAGATTCAGGATTCAAACCCACGTTCATCTAACACCAAAGTGCATCTTCTTAACCCCTGCTATGATCTTTTCCTGTGCCTCATTCTCCCTGTGGCCTAAGTGTTTTAAACAGCCTCTGACACATACTAGATACTCTGTCAATGTTATATAACTTAGTTGGCATTAGAAGAGAGAGGAAATGGCTTTCCTGTCTAAAGAACAAAGGCATATAATAAAATAGCATGGAAGAAAACAAATTGGGGAGTGGGGGATTATAGAGGGTAGGGAAGAAGATTAAGACAAATTTGGCTAGAATAAAGGATTTTGGGGAATTCCTGGAAACTGGCCCAGTCAAATCTTTTTAAAATATAGCTAATTCTCAAACATGGGTTAAACATTTACCTAGACTACCTTATTTATCTGATTCATTTACTTATAAAAGTAACCCATACTTCATAGATATCACAGAGGTAAACTTCAGAATGATTAAATTTGCCCAAATTCCTAATAAGTAAAGGCTGATCAATACATTCTTTTCCATATTTAAGACAAGCTTTTCCACTTTGCTACTATATCATGACGCTAGATTTTTTTTTAACCCACACTAGTTAATGATCCCAAAAGGGCTCAGTTTCTGTTCATGTTCCAAGAGCTGGGATGCTTATCTAAGAACAAACCTCCTGCAGAGTTCAAAAGGAACTCTACCCTCAGATATGCTCTGTGGAATTGTGTAGCAAGATCAGAAACAGCCTCTTAAATGGAATGCAGACACATCTGTCCTAATTAAATAATACCCCGTGTAGCCTCTGGCTTAATCATATTACAAAACACCCCCCAAATATCATGAACCCCAGTGTACACAAAGACACATGAGGGCCAAGTCTGCAGTATGCTCATGCTGGCAAGAACGTACAATATAAAATTGGCTGCTAAATTATATCCATGTCATGGATCTCTGCCAAGGATGGCTGACAAGCCTCACCTGTCTCGTTCACTCATCTTTTGCAGGTCTGAGTCCATTAGGCAGATGATGGGGGAGTGAGGCTAAAGCAAACTGAAGATATTCAGACTCCATACGTCCATGAAAATGGATAATTGCACAGAGATTCCATCCCAGATGATAGCCCAGGAGGCAAAGAACTCATTGAGAAACTCCATAAATTGTCCTTACTATTTAGCATATGTAAAATACGTGAAATCATGATAGCTTTAAGTCACCAAAGGCTTGCTATAGTCCAGACACTTTGTTAAGGTTTTTGCAATCCTTATCCTCATAACCAGCCCCATGGGGTTTTTACAATTGTTATTGTGCCAATTCCAGAGCTAGGGAGAGTGAGGCTCAGTGAAGTCAGTTACCTGCCCAAGGTTACACAACTCAAAAGTGACAAGGCTGGATTCAATTTTATGGCTGATTGTCTTGGGAATGAGGGTACTTAACCCATTATGTTACACCACCACTCCAGAGACTACCCAGAGCACTAAAGATGTCTTCTAGATTGCAGTTAGGTTCAATTGCATTTCTTTTCATTTTTGTGTTGTGGTAAAATATGCATAACTTAAAATTTACGATTATATAATTTTCAAGTGTATAACTCTATGGCGTTAGGTACGTCACATTGTTGTGCAGCAGTTACCACCCTCAATTCAAGAACTCTTCCATCCCTCTAAACTGAAACTCTACACACCCTTAACAATGACTCTCCCATTCTGCTGGGGAAGGTGGCTCATGCCTATAATCCCAACACTTTGGGAGGCTGAGGTGGGCAGATTGCTTGACCCCAGGAGTTTGAGACCAGCCTGGACAACATAGCAAGGCCTCATCTCAACAAAAAATAAAAATTAAATTAAATTTTAAAATAACTCCACATTCCTTCCTTCCCGCAGCTGCTGGTAATCACTATTCTAATTTCTGTCTCTATGAATTTGAATACTGTAGGTTCATCATATAAATAGAAACATAAAATATTTGTCCTTTTATGTCTGGCTTATTTCACCTAACATAATATCTTCAAAGTTTGTCCGTGTTGTAGCATGTATCAGAATTCCTTTTTAAGGCAGAATAATATTCCATTATATACATATACTACATTTTGCTTATCCATTCATCTGTTGGATAAATGCTTTCAATTCTTTTGGGCACACTCCCAGATCTAGCTAGATCATCTGGTAATGCTATGTTTAATTTTTTGAGGACCACCATACTATTCTCCACTGTGGCTGCAGCATATTACATTCCCATCCATAACGCACAAGGACTCCATTTTTTCCACATCCTCACCAACACTTACTATCTTCTGTCTTGGGTTTTTATTGCTTGTTTATTTTTTGTTTTTCAATAATACTCATCCTAATGAGAGTGAAGCAGTATCTCATCGTGGTTTTGATTTGCACTTCCATAATTATTCATGATGTTGAGCATCTTCTCATGTGCTTATTTGCCATCTACATATCTTCTTTGGAGGAATGTCATTTTGAGTTGTTTGCCCACTTTTGAACTGGGATGTTTGTTTTTTGTTCTTGAGTTGTAGGAGTACTTTATATATCCTAAGTATTAATCCCTTATTAGAAATATGATTTGCCCATATTTTCTGCCATTGTGTGGGTTGCCTTTCAATCCATTGTTATGTTTTCATGCATAAAAGTTTTTAAGTTCAATTGCATTTTATTGAAAAATGTTTATCATCTGTGTACACAGCACTTTGGTCACAAGGAGATGTTAAGAGATAACAAAGATCCTCATCATTAGAGAGTAAAGCACAGAGGAGGCATCATATGATTAAAGCCATTGGGGGACATAAAAAAGTGCTAGGGGCAAGAGACAGAGGAAGTGATGGTTCATATCAATAATAGAGACCTGAAAAACCTTCCAAGAGTCATCTCACATGGAATTATTGCCAAATAAGAGAGTCTGGAGAAGGTAGAGACCCTTGATGACCACTTGTAAATTCCCTATGAGAGAAATAACAGGATGCAGCAGGGTTAGAGGGAAGGAAGGAAAATCCATTGATTGCTGTAAGATGTCAGCAAGTACATTAGGAAAAAATAAAGTCTTGACTTGGTGTCAAAAGACTAGCATTCAAGTCCCAGCTCTGCTAGGTGCCAAGAGTGGGGTCTGGAACAAGTCATTTAATGTTTCTGAATGTCAGTCTTCTCATCTCTAAAGTAGAGGCAGCAGGACCTGTCCTTTCTACATTCACATTTGCTGTAAAAATTAGGTGAGATCGTGTAATTGTCATAAACTGCAAGGCACCATCCTTACAGAATTACGAAAGCCAATAAAAGAGACATCAATTGGAAGAGCATGTTCAGCTTTTTAAAATTTGGCACAGTATGTAAGTTAAGACAGATCTGTGATGATCTGAAGGTCCTTGGTACCCCAGCAAACCTCTTTAGTGGCGGGGGAAGAATGGGGACCAGATTGCCATCGGTTGAAGAGTGACTGTGAGAGGAAGGAGTCGAGAAGTCTACAAAACTAGAGAATATTTTCAAAGTATTTGTATGTGGTAATTTGGGAGAGAAATATGGTTATGGGAAAGTTGATTTTCCCCCCAGTAATGGATGGATCATTGCAAATCACTCCATACTTTGAGTGATATAAAGTTATCCCCATAAGACTCTCTTTTTAAAGAACACCTTTATTGAGATATAATTCACATACCATAAAAATTATCTTTTCTGAGTATGCTCCTGAAAGAGACTTAAAGAATATTTTTTCCATCCTCCTTGTGGCAACCTTATACTGTTTTTCTCTATGTCCCTTGCCTCATACCTTTGAAGAGTGATCCCCTCTCTAAGTCATATGGTTCTGACGGGGCTGGAAAATCTATAGCATCTGTTCTCCAACAATGCCACAGGTGTGGGGGGCCACAAGAGTTTGGGCTGGTCAATCAGAATGTCCCATTCCTTTACCCACAGTGGTTGACATCACATAGGCACATAAGCCAAATCAGTCCAGTCATAGAGGATTTTATTTGCAGCCACTGGAAGACAGGAGAGGCACTCTTTCCTCCAAGTAACTGGGCTGGAATGGCAAGGCAGGAGTTCTTCCTGGCAATCTCACTCTCCATCTCACCTCCACTCATCTGGTCACGTGGAGGAAGTTTATCTGTAGTGGAAAAGAATCAGATCAACAACAAAAGAGGACAGAGCCATGTGAGAAAGAAACACATACAGAGACAACAATACCTAATGATGCTGATATGCTTTGGCCCTGTTCCTACCCAAATCTCAACTTGAATTGTATCTCCCAGAATTCCCACGTGTTTTGGGAGGGACCCAGGAGGAGGTAATTGAATCATGGGGGACTGGTCTTTCCCGTGCTATTCTCATGATAGTGAATAAGTCTCATGATAGTGAATAAGTCTCATGAGATCTGATGGGCTTATCGGGGGTTCTGCTTTCGCTTCTTCCTCATTTTCTCTTGCCACCACCAAGTAAGAAGTGTCTTTCGCCTCCCGCCATGACTCTGAGACCTCCCTAGCCATGTGGAACTGTAAGTCCAAGTAGACCTCTTTTTCTTCCCAGTTGCAAGTATGTCTTTATCAGCAGTGTGAAAACAGACAAATACAGATGGCTTCTGTCTCTAGAATATGAGTCATCAAACCAACATCTACTGGTCCAATCCAGCCCTTTGCCTGTTTTTGTATGACCAGACAGCTACATAGGTTTTTACATTTTTATATGGTTGGGGAAAAAATCAAAAGAAAAATAACATTTCATGACATGTAAAAATAATATGAAACTCCTCTATAGTCTCCATAAAGAAAGTTTTACTAGAACATAATCATGCTCATTCATTTACATCTTATTTGTGGCTGTTTTTGTGCTATAGTAGCAGAGCTGAATAGTTGCAACAGAGACCATAAGGCCCACAAAGTTGAATATACTTGTTATCTTGCTATGGACAAAGAAAGTTCACCAATCTGTACTCTAAAGTAAAGCCAATACCATGCCTGAACTGTTACATGAGCCCAGAAATCTCCCTTTGATGGCTTGCACTAGTGGGAGTTGGGTCTCTGTCACAACAGTGTTTCCTGAAAAATATCCTCTTGGCTTTAAGGATGTGGAACATAAAGGGGAAATACACAACTGGCTTGCTCACATAGTTGATGACACCATGGGACCAGAACCCTGGCATCACCAGACAGCCTGGCTTCATGGCTGTGCAATCTGAGCAGCCACACAAGGCCCCATGCTTAGAAGGGCTCTGCACTTGGTTTACTGCTCGGTTATCACAATCTTGAGATTCTTAATAAGTTTTGCACAAGGGGGCCTGAATTTTCATTCTGCACTGGACTCTGCATTTAGGTAGCTGGTCTTGGTACCACCCACTCAGCCTCCCCAATTCTACAAACTTTACCCTTTTCTAATCACATTCCACTTCAGCATTATAATTTCCAATCACCCTAGCACATTAATATTAGAGAAATTGATATTATAGCAACTTCTATGTTTTAATTCCAACATAATTTATAGTCAAAAGTACACACTTTCCCCACTTTATAACAGGACTACATTTCTCCAAGTTTCAAGTAAAATAGCTATGATTTTATTTTTTGTGTGTTTAATAATCCTCATCACCATAATTGTTCTGTATTTATTTTGTATTTCACTTATACTCTGGGACTGGTGTGGCACAGGGAATGGATGCAGTAATTCTACACATTCATAAATTGTGAACAGGATTTCAAAAATGGTTCCTGTTATTGAAGCTTCTGGCTATGGTGATAATTGAAATGAAAACATTTATGAAGTGCTCATTAGATGTCCCCATAGCACAGGAATCTTTGGGTCAAGTAATTTATAACACAGGGCAAACCACAAGGTCTAGTTGCCTAGTCAAATCTCAATCTCTCTGTCCAAAACAATTCAGACTGCAAAAAATGAACATAAGAAATACAAGAAAAAGGAAAAGCTAAATCACAGGGGATAATATTGTTCTCCATTTTTTGAAACATTAACCTATTCAAGTTATATTAGGTTTTTATGTTTCCTGGGATCTTCATTTGTCTTAAAGCCCTTTAACTGGCTTTTTCTTCTCCCTTCTGTTCTTCCCTCCCTCCCTCCCTCCCTCCACCCTGCTTTCTTTCCTTCCTTCCCTGCTTTCTTTCCCTCTCTTTTTTTTGTGACTTTTGCTATTTTTATAAATTACCAAAGTAACCCATCTTTAGTGTAGGATATTTTTTAAGTAAACATAGGGAAAAATAAGAACATAAAATTACCCATCGTTTCACCACCCAGTGATAAGCATGGTTAACATTAATTTTTGTCATTGCTAACATTTAGAATATATCTTTTCTAATCAATTTTCTGTGCACATCTAAAACTTAAAAATATGGAATCTTGTTGAATACTGTGAGGAATTTTTTTGTGAGCATTTCCCCATATCTTCATCAGCTTTTTGCATTGTCATTTTAATGACTACATGATATATAATTTATTTTTAAAATTCCCTATTGGTGGACATTTGAGTTGTTTCTCATTTCCTGTCATTCAAAGCAACACTAAAATGAATATCCTTATAGCTATATTGATATGTCTATCTGTATTTCTTTCTTTCATTTTACATTAAAGGCTAAGAGAAACAATCTTTAATCTCTGTGATTACACAACTTCTTATTTCCATAACACTATTGCTGAAGGAGCTCAGATAAAAGTATATATATAACTTCAAACAGTTGCATAACATAGTGCTGACATAGAATACTCTCAACAAATGATGGCTATTAACAGCTCCAAGAAAGCGTAGCCTCCCTGACATCAGATTCAAATGGCAATTTTCCTTGGTTGTCATTTATAAACCTAAACATAGCCTTTTTAAAGAAATGTAAATATTTATTTGTGTTGTACCATCTTTTAGAATATGGGATGGTACAATATTCCATTAGTCTAGTACCAATGTGAAAAAAATAGAATTATCTCTTTATCCCACTTATATCTAACTGTCCTCCTCATCTTAATATTTCAGGATAAATCCATCTTAAACAACTCCAAGTAGACATAATACTTACAAACGAATAGGAATATATTTGTATGCAAAACAGAGTTTGCTACTGTTCTTTTTAAAAAATTTTAATACCTTTAGAAACAAAGATCCAATCCAAACTCAATAAAAATTAATAAATGGGACTAAGGCTTTTTCATTTTTATGTTAAATACATGCAAAATATTTTATTATAACTGGCAGGTAATTTTAATTTTAAAAAAAGATTAAATACTACTAATAATAAGAGGGCTAAATTTCTCCCCTACTTGGTTCTGCAATATCTACAAGGGACTTGTATCTTTCAGACTTTTCAGTAAACAAGTTTCCAACATGGCAAATTTTCATGTAGGCGTCAGCAGAGATATTTTCTATGAATGCCTAAAATAATCATCACTTTTTCCATGTAGATATTTTCTATGAATACCTAAAATAATCATCATTTTAAGCATATTAAATATTATCTTGGAGAGTGTTACAGCTTACACTCAACTAAAGGCCTAGAATGTAGGTTATAATAAAAATTTTATTAATAAATAAATGAATGAATCATGCCACCGGTTATTGCCTTTACTGTTAACATCCGGGACAACTTTTACTTCTCTTTATAATCTCCATTGATTCATAACTTCTCTTGGTTCCCTTATCTGTAAAATGGGAGTAGTAATCGTGCCTCATGATTGATTCAGTGCCGCATTACTGAATCATTGTGAGGATTCAGTAATGTAGCCTATGGAAAGCACCTAACACCAAGCATGGCATTTGATAACCCCTCAACAAATATAAGCTATTACCATTAACAATAGCATAATCATCACCATCCTCATCATCATCGTCGTCATCATCATCGTCAGCATTACCATCAGCATTATCATCATCATTATCATCATCATCATCCTTGAATGCAAATACCATCTGGCTTGTTCTCTTTTTAAGCAGGCATGAGCCTTATTTTCTCCTTGAGGAGAAAATTATTTTACTATAGTTGAGTTCCCAATACATTCCCCACCCGAGGGTACCGTGTAGAAGGGGGTCAGGAAGGAAGAGCTGAGAGAGAGAGGGAACCTGTTAATTTGGAAAAAGCAAGATGTTCCAGAAAACCTTGGCCTAGTGTATGAGAAAAATGGGCTTAGCAATTACAGTTGTTATGAAACTTGGGTTTTATGAAGCCAGAGGCTGGAACTGTACAATAAAACAACTTTGAAATATCAAAAGATCACTTTGGGTGGCCTGCCAGTGGATTATAGACATGACTTTTATAGTGAGAGGGACTGTCTGGCATTGAATCAGAGGAACTATATGGTTTGAGCAGCAGGACATCAGTAGCTAGTTTGAGCTTAAATAAAAAATCAAAATGGCAAATCAGTACAGAATAAACAAAACCTAAGAGATTTGTTTTGTACAGTGTAAAGGAAGAGTGGGTTCTGTAAACATCAAACTCTGGAGGAAAATGCTAGGGGGTTTTCTACCATTTCTCTCAGTGCACTGAAGCTTTTCATGGACTTAATTGATTTTTAGGAAGATATTTAACATTGCAATCTGGATGGGAATATTCTCTGAGATAATTTAAGAACGAATTCATCATAAACGCTCATTTTTCTAATTATTGAGGGGAGAATTGAAAATTGCAAGTTGGAAACAGACATGGCAGAGCCCAGAAAAAAAAAATTATCTCCAATTTCCTAACACAAAAGGAAAGGGGGAATGCAAAAACTGTCCTTTGTTGAAAACCACATCTGCAAAAGCTAATGAGAGCATGGCCTTGCTGTGTCTGTCAACCACCGATGGTTGATAAGCAGCTAGTCTTATAAACGTTACCAGTTCAAAATGGAAACAAAAGCATGCACAAGTTTTCATCTGTAATTGGTCAGAAAGACTGCATACTGCTTCCAGAACTCAGCTGCTTGCTGCTCTGTCTCTTAGATTACTAATCCTCATGCTGTCCAAGTCCTATGTTCATTTTAGCAACAACAATGGCCATTTCTCATCCTCTAGAATGCAAACGACACAAAATGTACAAAGTGCAAAATGAAGTTATGTTATAGGATGTTTAGGAGCCAAGCTTCTGTTAAAGCAGGTAAATTATGAAATAGAAGAGAATACCAGTGCTAAAACTGAACACAAACAAGCCATCATTTCTCTCTGGAAACTTTCAAAATGATTTTGCCAATTAGTTACTCCAAGCTAACAAAGAGGAGACCACTGGGCATTGTAAATGATGTTGTTATATCTGCAGAAAGCCATCTTCAAGAAATGGGTTGTTATAATATTAACACACATTAAATGTGTATGATTGGAGTCTAGTCCACCTGCAGGGTTAAAATAGACAGCTTCTGTACATTACAATCTTTTATGCTACAGTGTCCTACAAACAACCTGTTTGCCAGGAGATCCCACCATTGGCCTTCCAGTCATTCTAGAGAGAATGTCTGAAAGATGTCTTGATTGCAGGTAATTATCTCCGTTCCCCCAGTATATTTACACGTATCTAGCCCAGACTCTTTCATCAGTGCTGGAATTCTCTTGCTAAACACAGACTGATCTTGCTGTCATCAACCTCACCTCCTTCAATCAATCCTTCACAGTGCCATCAGAGATACCTTTCTAAAACATAAATCTGATATTCTCAGTATACTGTTGTGTGTTTGTGTGTGTGTGTGTGTGTGTTTTTCTTTCTTTTTTTTTTTTTTTTTTTGAGATGGAGTCTCGCTCTGTCACCAGGCTGGAGTGCAATGGCGCGATCTCGGCTCACTGTAACCTCCACCTCCTGGGTTCAAGCAATTCTCCTGTCTCAGCTGGGACTACAGGTGTGCACCACCAGGCCCAGCTAATTTTTGTATTTTTAGTAGAAACGGGGTTTCACCATGTTGGCCAGGATGGTCTCTATCTCTTGACCTCATGATCCGCCCGCCTTGGCCTCCCAAAGGCTGGGATTACAGGCATGAGCCACTGCGCCCGGCCCAGTATACTGTTTTAAAAATCAACAGTGGCAAACCTCTTTCCTCCTGGTTTAAGTCCAAAATCCTTATAATAACCATATTTTAAAAAAAAATATGTGCTTGGCATTATATAAATCTTCCATTTAGTAATATAACAATTATAATATTTTTAAATTATTAAACAAGGTTGTTTTTAAAATTTCCCTTAAATCATGTACCTTGTGGCTTTTCTTCTATTGAGTAAACAGTTTCTATTTTTCCCGAGTAGAGCAGATACACATTAGAGCAGTGGTTTTCAACCAGGGACAATTTGTCCTCTAGGAGATATTTGGCAATGTCTGGAGATATTTCTGATGATCACACTGGGAAGAGATGACTGGCATCTAGTGGGTGGAGGCCAGGGAGGTGCTAAACATCCTGCAGTGGCACAGGACAGCCCCTCACAACAAGGAAATATCACAACAAAGCCCAAAATGTGGATAGTGCAAGGTTGGGAAACCCAGCAATAAAACAATAAAAAATATTGCTCAGCTATAACCGTGAAACTGGGGTGCAGAATCTTACACTACAAGAGTGGCCCTCAGGGGGTAATAGATGGGTGGTTGTGAGAACTGACCTTCACTTTGTTTAGCATTACAGTGAACACTAAAAAAGGAGATGGAACTATGTCGTGTATATGGCACACCTGGTAGGCCAGTCTTCAGATGCGTCAGGCAGAGAAAGGGGTCAGGAGGTGTTAATAAAAATTAGAATGGTAGAGGAGCTTGTCATGCCTAACAGACTCCTCAGTCAGCCCAGGTAATATCATTCATTGCTGTAAGTCCCTGTGAAAAACTTGGGGGACCTGATAAGCCATCCTTCTGAGAGCAGCCAGTGACAAATTCTGCTTGAGCTAACAGTCTACTTCTATATCCTTAGCCGTATAAGATTCCTGTATCCTCCAACTTCATCCATTGGGGTTTCCCTTAATCATCATCACTTTAGGACAAAGACACACCAGTGAAACAATGATCTTGGGAGCCAGAGTGAGTTGAGCAAGAAAAACGAATTCTAAAATCTGTCTTTAACACATTGAAAGTAAAACTTTAAGATCTGAATGTATTTTTTTTTTTAACCGCAAGCCAGAGGATAACCTGGATTTTCTTAATCTGGAAAGCAGGATATGACATAAGGAAATTTCCCAACTGCACAGACAGGAAATGGGGTGTATTTGCATGGTGGGGAGTCTGGGGGCAATGTGGAGGAAGAGGAAAGGAGGTCAGGCCCAAAGATACTGACTTCTATAGGCACAGGAGCCTGGGTGGGGCTATATGAGAGGCAGTAAAAATGCCAGAGAGCTTGACAGGGCAGCTGGAAGCCTCAGGAATTTCAGACCAACTTTCCATTTGTACTCCTGGAAGGAGGACACTTTTCACACTGCCTTCAACAAATGTGTATTAGTGAAGGAAAAGGAAACATGGAATATTTTTGGAAAGGAGATGGCCTGGAGGAGTCCAGATGTTTCTACATGTACACAGCGAGGAATACAAAAGATTAGGATGAGGGTCAGGAGTCCAGATATTTCTACATGTACACAGCGAGGAATACAAAAGATTAGGATGAGGGTCAGGAGTCCAGTGAGAGTTGACTTTATAGTGAGGCTGGGTTGGCAACCACACCTTGAGTTCAGAGGGAAGATGTAGCTGAGATTCAGGGGATCTGCAGCCACAGGGCCCACATCAACACAGGAAGAGAGGAAAACACACCCAAGAAAATAAAAGTTTTACTGTCTCTGAAATTCAGCAGCAGTTGCCAAGTGGGACTAAGCACATCTTCATGAGGTCAGCAAAGATTGGAGAGATGAGCCTTGTGGCCCAGTGGGCCAGGCCCCAGTCCGTGACAATACATGTATTAATAATACATGTACACAGGCACCAGCTTATGAGGAAGAGGAGGAAGGGCAACCCTCTGAGAGAAGCAGAACTGAAGGTCTATTCAAATGTGTGAGCAAAGTTAAGGGAACGGACACTCGTGAAGTTGAGGTAAGTTATGGGAAACAAAGAAGCTATACTTTTTTGCACATCTAAATCAGAGTGTTTAAAGTGTTGGTGTTCATTTCAGTAGGAAACCCCTACTTACTGAGTGTAATTATGAAATAACTGAAGCACAGAAAAGTAACTTATCTCACCCAAGGTCACAGAGACAATAACTGGGGGAGCCCTGGCGTCAAAGACCATGATCTTTCCACTCTACTTCTCCTTATAGCAACATTCCAGCCCACTCTTGATGGTCTGGCCCCACTCTAAATTACCAGCCTCATTTACTATTACCTCATACTCTTTTTCTTTCAATCACAAGATTAGTTCTCAAACATGCCATGCTTTTTCTTCCTTCATGGTTTTGAACACATTTCTCCTGCTGCTCCAGTGCACTTCCGAGCCACCTTCTCTCTCCCGAAGTTGACTTTATATTCCACCCAACTTAACACCTTTGAGTAGACTGGAACACTCTTTTTTGGTAGCAAAAGGTGGGAAATATTGAGGAGCAAGGTGACAAAATTTAGTTACCCAAGCTAATTGCCAGAGAAAGAGCACTATTGTCTCTCCCAGTCTGGTTTTCCTCTAGACAAAGAGGCTGCCTGGTTCAACATGCCTGACAGCATGGTTTTACAATCGTGTACTTGATTTTCACTGGCATAGTCACACCCATAAGTTCTCAAGCTCAGAGACTTGGTTCAACCATTCTTTTGACAGCCCACCAGCCACTTAACATTCCATTATTTTTCCTCTGGCACACAAACTTCCTTAATTTCTCCCCAACTTCCCTGCACAATGAAACTAGCCAAGTCACTCACAATTCTTGTTTATCTTACTTGCACGTGGCTTTTCTCATCATCATGTCATTAGTATGAGTTGAAAAATCCCTCTAACCAAGACAATCAGAAGTGCCTCAGCCAGTCCTCTGGTTCACTTGGTTTCCAACTGGCTCATCTCCCTCTTGTGTTCCCAAGAATCTAAACACCCTACAGTCTCTTCCCTTACTGACCCTTAGCAAGGTCTTTCTATGTCTACAGATCAATTTATTTTCTCCTAAAGCCAGTTAGGTTAGCACAGCACTTTCAAGTAGAACTTTCTGCAGTAATGAAATATTGTATATCTGCACTGTCCAATATGGTACCTATTATCCACATGTGGCTACTGAGGAAGTGAAATTTTATTTAATTTAAATGTAAACGTATATTGCCTAATGGGGCTGGTGGCTATATGCTAAATAATGACAGTATTAGAACATTCTATTTAAATCAGTGTAACACACAGATTATTTCCAAACATACTTTCCAAGCCTACGTGATATATTTGTATACCCACTAACCAAATTCATCGTATATACTTAATATTTAAACTAAAATATTTTCCTTCCTCCAGTGCAGATTTCCCTCTTGTTAAACTATAGCCTCAGCTATTATAACCAAGACAAAAATTACTCCCCCAGCAAAGCTTTCCCTGTCATCAGTATAGAAGCAATCATCATTTCTTTTGTGTGTGTGTGTGTGTGTGTGTGTGTGTGTGTGTGTGTGTGTGTGACAGAGTCTCACTCTCTCACCTAGGCTGGAATGCAGTGGTGCAATCTCCTCTCACTGCAACCTCTGCTTCCTGGGTTCAAGTGATTCTTCTGCCTCAGCCTCTCAAGTAGCTGGGATTATAGACACTCGCCACCACACCCGGGTAATTTTTTACACCCGGGTAATTTTAGTAGTGACAGGGTTTCACCATGTCACCCAGGCTGGTCTTGAACTCCTGACCTCAAGTGACTGGCCCACCTCAGCCTCCCAAAGTGCTGGGATTACAGGCTGAGCCACAGTGCCTGATGAATCATTTCTTTTCTAAGACTCATATTTTCTTTATCACTCATAGAATCCATCGCAACATATTAGTTCATTATTTACATGTTGATCTCCCCCCCTGTTAGAATGTGCTCTCTCAGAAGGAGAGAAGGGACTCTTTCATTTATCTTTGATTCCCAACACCTAGAGCAAAAGTGGACGTAACAGTTATCCAATTGTTGGATAAATAAGTGAATTAAAAATAACAGTGGAGGACTGCTAGAAAGGATACAACTATTTTTATAAAATTAGCATAGGAAGGGTAAAATCTAGCTAGGGTGTGGATAAATGTATAGTCTTTTTCTTTCACATTTCTTTTTATGGAAATCTCTGTGATCTATTTGAGAGATGCTACAGAATTGTAATTGCTAATGACACCTCCGTAGAGGGCAGCATTAAAGACAGTATTTGAGTTGTCAGTTAGCAAATGTTGGTAATAGATGGGAGACAACATGCCTGGGAGAACAGTTCTCTGTGTCATCGGCTACATGCACCAACCCAGGACGTGTTTCTGCAGACTCCTGAGTCACAATTATTACACTGGGTGTTGCTGTCACTATAGCTTCCTCCAACAACTTTCCAAATTACTGCTTCATTCTCTTTTCAAATGCCAATGATGTTGGGTCATGTCCTTGACTGAAATCCGTTGCTGACCAAACTCCATAACATAGCCTACAGGACCCTGAATGATCTGACATCCAACCCAACTCTCCAATCCCATCTCAGACTACACTCCCTGCTCCAGCCACACTGGCCTTTCCTCCGGTCCTCATGGTATCTACCAAATTCCTTCTGGCCTCAGAGCACGTGCACTTTCAGCTCATGCTCCCTGGAACTCTTACTCTTTTTTTTGCTCTTTGCATAGTTCATGCCAGCTCATCCTTCAGCTCTCAGCTCAGGCATCACTTGATGGGGGAAGACATTCCTGAAATCTGGACAAGGCCAGATCCTCCTTTTATAAACAACATGTGCCTCTTCCTAACACTCATCACGGATGGTTTTACATATATTTGTGAGTATTTGACACACATCTATCTGTACCTCTGAATGCTTAGTTTCATGTGGACCTGAGCCATGTTTACTTTTATTCACCATGTGACTCCCTGTCCCCTAGCACTGTCCCTGGCACAAAGTGGACACTCAAGAAATATTTTTTGGATAAATGAAAGAATGAATGTATGAATGATGCAAATAATTTCCCTTAAGAGTATAGGTTCAGCAATTAAATATTATTGGGCAGAGAACCAATGAGACTGAAAATTGTTGATGCTCCATTCCATCTTTGGGACTGCATTCAGACCACACTCCTCTGGCTAGGCGACCATTTGAGGCTTCCTTCTTCTTAATATCCCATGCTGCCTTCAAATCTATGAGTCCTGGATATCCTTCCAATAAGCTGTTTTTGCTACTAAGGTAATTTCTGTTGCTTACAACTCAAAACTAATAGTCACTGAAAAGATCACAAGACAGGTTGAGAAACAGGGTCGTGAACAGCTAGAAAATGGTAGTAGGATTAGAACCCATGCAGTCTGACTCTAGAGCTCTCCTCACTGCTGAAAAAGGTTGTGACATGCCCGTGAGTACCATGGCTCATAGGGTGAATTCCAGCAGTTGCTGTGCTGTCTGACTTTGATCAAGGCTTTACTAATGTGTCACCCTCAAACCAAAATATGTCCATGCTTCCCGGTCATTATTTAAAGGATTTCCCCAAGCAGAAACATGACAGTTGGCTACAAGGGTTGGTAGAGGTTTGTGCACAGAACCAGCCAGTCTCTGGGGCACCTACAAGTGTCAGTTCAAGCTGGACACACAGTGGCAGATGAGCTGGCCACTGGAAATTAATGGTTTTCCTGGGGTAGTGCCCCTAAATGACCTTGGAACTCAGTCAGCTTCCAGTTTGAATAATGCCCCCATCTCCTCTCCCCTCTTCCCTACCCAGAGGCTTATCTAGTTCTGGAGAGTAGAATCACTCACCCTGCAAGCATACGTCTAAAATCTTTGGGCCAGAAGCCTCTTTCCCTGAGTTTAAAGTCTCTGTTGTCACTTCCAAAGTGAATGACTCAATCCTGGGGGAAGAAAAAGGCCTCAAGAGAACAAGTACCAAAGCACAGGGGGAGGGACACCATTCAGCTGGAGTTCTCATTGTGCCCTATGACCTTCCCACAAAGAGCACAGCGATAAAGTTTCCTTGTAAACCCAAAAGAGAATGAAATGGGTATAAATACGTTGCTGGAGTCCAGCGAAGAACCCAAGAGAGTTTCTTTGACTGTGTTAGTTACGGATTTCTCACACATACAATAACAAGTTTCTGGCTTTCCTGGCACATATGTTTGAGCAATGTGTTGCTATATCTCTGACAGTTGGTGACATTTCCTTTGCAGTCAGCAAGATTCATAAAGGGGCTGTGTGTCCAATGAAGAAATTAACATCCTAAGTCCCTGTATTTGCTATTAGTCATCATTTATGCCTTTATACAAAAAATATTCACCGAATACCTACTCTATGTTCAGCCCCAGCAGACACAAAGATGAATCCAAAGCAGTCCCTGCTCCCTCAAAGGACAATACATGTATCTAAATAACTATATTACCCAGTGATATTATTAATTAGAACAATTGCAATTAACATGTATTTGAGGACTCATATCGTGCCGGGGACTATTCTCAATACTTTTTATGGAATATCTCTTCTATCTAATCCTTGCTGGAGCTCTGTTATTATACCCATTTTACAGATAAGGACCATGAAGAAGTTATATATTCCCAAGATCATAGTAGTACAGTAAGAATGGAGACAAAGTGCTTCTGGATTCTAGGAGAGAGATGTTAGTCCCACAGAGGGATGCCAGGAAGGTTTTGGAGTAGAGACAGTGTGTGAGCTCATCCAGTTAGTGTACAGTCTACTCAGCTGGTGTTACGGAAATGTGAGCATACTTCTTTTGTGAATCTCACCCTCACGAATCATTGTTAACCTACATCACTCATCTGAAGAGTTGCTTATGCATCTGCAGGCACTGATAACAGACTTAACATGAAGACCTTAGGCTTATATTGATCTGTCTTCAAAGCTTGATAAAGTTTATTCTATTGGTCTGTTGTGTTTGAGATCTGAAAATTCAGTAAATCAATTAAACCCAGGGAGAGAATTGACACAGAGTTAAAAGATCAATTGAAGAAATGGATACCTTGACGAATTTACCTTTTTGCCCAAAGGCCCTTATACAATCAGAATTTTTCAAATGAGTGAGACCTTGACATAAACTGATCTATCACTTTCAACTTACAAATGAAAGAATGAAGGTACATAGAGGTAAAAAGACTTGTCCAAGGGTACACCCTTATCTTGGCACCCTTATCTTCCAATTCCTAATCCAACGTTCTTTTTATTAATATTTAAGAAAACAACTTGCCTGTAATTCCAGCACTTTAGGAGTCTGAGGTTGGAGGATGTCTTGACCCCAGGAGTTTGAGACCAACCTGAGTAACACAGCGAGACCCTGTCTCTACAAATAGTAAAAACATTAGCCAGGTGTGGTATCTCATACCTGTATTCCCAGCTGCTCAGGAAGCTGAGGCAGGAGGATCTCTTGAGCCCAGGAGTTTGAGGGTGCAGTGAGCTACGATCATGCCACTGCACTCCAGCCTGAGTGACAGAATGAAACCCTGTCTCAAAAAAAAAAAAAAAAAAAAGAAAAGTAAAAGAAAACACCTTTATCGAGGCAATTAAAATACACTAAATCGCATATGTTTGAAGTGTACAGTTGACTCCGTTTTGACATATGTATTCACCCGTGAAACTATCACAATAAAGAAAGATATTTCCATAGCCTCCAAAAGTTTCCTTATGCCTTTTTATTCCTCCTTGTGTCTCCATTCCTGGGCAACCAGTGATCTGCTTTGATCACTCTAAATTTGCATTTTTGACAATTTTATATAAATGGAATAATACAGTATGTATTCTTTTTGGCTAGCTTCTTTCACTCACATAAATTATCTTGAGATCCGTTTGTGGTGTGTGTATCCATAGTTCATCCCTTTTTATTGCTGAATAGTAGTCCATTGTATGGATATAACACAATTTGTTTTGCCATTCATCCGTTAATGGACACTTGAGTTGTTTCCAGGTTTGAGCTATTATAAACAAGCCCATGATAAACATTCCTGTTCCAGTGTTTGTGTGGGTGTATGCTTCCATTTCTCTTGAGTAAATATTTAGGAGTAGACTAGCTGGAAATGTGGTAGGTGTATGCTTATCTTTAGAGGAAACTGCCAAACTGTTTTCCAGAGTTGTACCATTTTATATTCCCATCAGCTGTGTATGTGGGTTCTAGTTGCTCCACATCCTCTTCAACATTTAATACCAACTTTTATTTCACTATTATTTTTTATTAGCTAGTAACAATTCCCACTGCAACTAGTAAATTCTTTAATGCTGCACTGGTAGAGGAATGTCCATCAACTGTCTGAGGCCTAACATGACTTTCTTTTTTTTTCTTTTTTTGAGACAGAGTCTCGCTGTGTTGCCCAGGCTGGAGTGCAGTGGCGCTATCTAGGCTCACTGCAAGCTCCGCCTCCCGGGTTCACACCATTCTTCTGCCTCAGCCTCCCAAGTAGCTGGGACTACAGGCACCCGCCACCACGCCTGGCTAATTTTTTTTTTTTTTTTTGTATTTTTAGTAGAGACGGGGTTTCACCGTGTTAGCCAGGATGGTCTCGATCTCCTGACTTCGTGATCTGCCCACCTCAGCCTCCCAAATGCTGGGATTACAGGTGTGAGCCACCGCACCCAGCCGCCTAACATGACTTTCTTACTCTTCATGCTTTTATTTGCTCCACTCAATAGCTTTGATGGAATATCACCTTTGGGAAAACAGAGTAAAGAGAATAGGCATTTTTAGAGGAGAAGTCACCGTGAATGACAGAAAGGGCTGCCTTTCTTGGAGGTGCTCCCCTTTGGTGAATAGGAAGGAACAGGAAGCTCCCTCACTCAAAGCACAGGAAGAATGTGCTATTACCACCAAGCCGGGGTTGGAAACAGCACACAGAAGCTGAAGGCCTTGATACCACGACCCTGGGGGCACCAATGAAGGAAGGGAAAAAGGAAAGAGATCAATGAGAAAGCTCTCCAGTCATCTATTCTGGGGGCTTTTCAGGGGCCACAAGGTGACTTTCCCTTTCTTTCCCAGAGTCTGAGACTGGACACCTTCTCTTGGTCTTAGACTGCCTGTAGGGCAGTCCATATATATCTACTGTTAGGTATATTGTCATAATAGATAACTATTTAATTAGCACAGACCACATGTCAGGAATTGTGCTAAGAATTTTATATCTATTATTTTATTTTAATTCTCAGGACAACCATGTGAAGTTGGAATGACTAGTCCCATTTTACAGATGAGGAAAGTGAGACATAGAGATGTTAAGTAACTTGTTCATGGTCACCAAACTAATTGGCAGAGCCCAATTTGAACCCAGTTCAGTCTGATTTTAAAACCCAAGTAATTAGCCACTGAACTCCACTACCTTTTATATGACTGAATATGAATGCTGTGAATGTGAGTGAATAGTAAATTAGCATGAAACCCCTTCCAAATCTAACCCCTCATTGAGTCTATTTTGTAATATCATGGATTGATTACAGGCATTACATGCCAATTATTCAAGGAATTCCTGCAGTCTTTAAATGTTTGCCAAGTGTAGATCCTCCATGCTCCCCAGCAAATTCTGGAGGGAAGAGAGAATCCATATTTAGAACTTTGGTTACCAATTGCACCAGTCTTTTATTTTTTGCCAACCTGTTCAAGCTCATGTTTCAGCAATTAAAATTGTCCCTCTGTATTTGCTGGGTATTGATTGCAGGACCTCCCACAAATACCAAAATCCATGGATGCTCAAGTCCCTTATATAAAATGGGGCTGTGTTTTTCACATAACCTACAACACATTCTCCTGTATACTTTAAATCATCTCTAGATACTTATAATATATTCAATGTAAGTCGTTGTTATACCATATTGTTAGAAAATAACAAGAAAAAAGTCTATACATGCTCAATACAGACGCAACCATCCATATTTTTTTCCCAAATATTTTTGATTCACAGTTGGTTGAATCCACAGATGCAGAACCCACAGACACAAAAGGGCTGACTGTATTACAATTGTTCAGATGTATGTATGTACATTTACTCCTCCCACAATGTCCAGTGATTCCCCAACTTTGGTGTGCATAAGTCTTACTTGGAGAGCTTATTAAAAGCAGAAATGTTGCTGGGTGCAGTGGCTCATGCCTGTAATCCCAGCACTTTGGGAGGCTGAGGCGGGTGAATCACCTGAGGTCAGGAGTTCAAAACCAGCCTGGCCAACGTGGTGAAACCCCGTCTCTTCTAAAAACACAAAAATTAGCTGGGGGTGGTGGCAGGTGCCTGTAATCCCAGCTACTCAGGAGGCTGAGGCATGAGAATTGCTTGTACCCGAAGGCGGAGGTTGCAGTGAGCCAAGATTGTGCCACTGCATTCTAGCCTGGGCGACAGAGCAAGATTCCATCTCAATAGATAGATGATAGATAGATAGATAGATAGAAAGATAGATAGATAGATAGATAGATGCAAAAATGCCAAGGCCCCGCACTCTGAGATTCTGATTCAATAACATTGGTTTTCACCCCAGCACCTGTATTTTCAACATGCATGGTAGATAAAGCATACAATTGTTATATAGTTGCCCATCATTCATTCCCTGACCTAAAATCTACCCAATTTTATTTGGAGGAATTGCTTCTTCCTGGCTTGGCTTGGTCCTGGTGGGAGGGCTATTCCAGGCACTCACCTCCATAGAAGCCAAATCCCCTTTTCCATGCATTGTTTAAACTAAGGATTTGGCATGTGACTTTCACTAGCCAATCATATTCCCTCTCTCAGGACTTTGAATTTTGAATAGAAGAACAAGCAGAGATGATGCAGCAGCTCAGCAGTGGTGTCCGTTACAATCATGAGACAATTTGGTGCTTTCTGTTTCTTGAGTTTCCTTAGCACCTCCTTGGTATCTCAGACTCCCCTCAGTTCTATGAACCTCTATCCTACCTGTCCAAATATCTTTTCAATAAGTGACTTTTTGCTCAAGTTACCCTAGTTGCTTTTTGATGCTTGCAACCAAAACAATACTCCAGGATACCTCAGATGATTCAGTTGTGAGTGATGCAAAGGCAGCTTTTGAGAAACATTGCCCTTAATTTTCAGTGCTCCCCTACTTGATCATTTGGAGAAAAAGCATGTTATTCCTCTTGACTAGCTATCTCCAGCCATCATTTTCACATAAGTAAACTTGTTAAGTATTTTCAAAAGCATAGGGAGATCCCATTTGTATAATATTTAATTCTTCCTACTTTGCATATCATGCTTACAGTTTCTGCATATAATATGGATTTTTTTTTTTTTTTTTTGCCTCGTTCACTATTAAGTTAGAGCTCCAAAATGCTTTTCTTGGGCTGGCAAACCCAGAATTACCCTCACTAGCTTTTCTTTATTGTGCACCTCGGGAGCCTCTGTTAGTCTAAAAGTAGAGTAAGAATTGGTAGAACCAAGTAGACATCTGACAAACCACTAATTAGCTGCCTGGTAGTGTGTTGATGTGGGCCATGACCTCAGGGAACTGACTGCAATGTGAAGATCCCTAGGAAAGCATTGAAAACCAAAAGACCGCCATTTTTAGCAACTCCTGATGAAATGATGACATTCCAATGATAATAATAGATACTAATTGTCCCCTCAAAGGAAGTTTCTATGGTAATAAATCCTTGGTCACAGATTTCTAGCTAAAGAGTTAGTCATTGCAGAACAAATTATAGTAGAACAGAATAAGGGCTGTAACCCTCTTTTCCCAGATAAGGCAATCTTATGTACTTTGGTATTACATAGTGTTGTTAACTAGTTCTAGATGCAGCAGTTTTGCTGATCTTGGGGTGAATGGACTTCCAGTGGTCAGTGGACTTCGGAGGCCAGCATTCATTATTTCTTTCTCAGAGGATGGCATCTCAATATTCCCCTGGGAGACCTCCATTCCCCCATTGTATTCTATGTAATTTAGGTGGGGTTGACACCACCTCCTTAGCTCGAGCGTTGGGCACAGAATTTAGGCCTAGTTACGGCATTCTATTTCCCTGGCCACACTGATGGAGTTAAGATGAACATATGACACAAGCCAGATCCATGAGACTCAGCTGGTCTTTTGCTACATTGAGAAAAAGCTTCTTTCTGCTGAGTTTGTTGAGTTAGTTCAAGCCAGGCCATGTTTACCACCATTAAGTGAGAGTCCATTTAATAATCAAGTCAACTCAGAGTAAAGTCAAGCCAAGGGACTGAGGAAGACAGATTCCTGATGTCCCTATGCAAGCCCCTGAATGCAGCCATGACTGAGGTTGCACTACCTACTGGGCTTTTCAATTACATCAGCCAATGGAGTCCTTTTTGGTTTTGCTTTCATTGTTTTTGAATTGGGTTTCTGTCACTTGCAACCACAAAACTTTGACTAATACACATGGGAAGCAATAGATTGACTTCCACAAAGGTTATTTGATGAGATCTTTAATCCATTAATCTGGAACTTCCTGAACTACTCTTTCTGGTCTATGAGGGAAAAGTGAAACAGGCATAAGAAAAGGACAGGAAGAGTTTATAATTGATTCCTCCTGCTACAAACACTTTCCCACACATTTCCCAAGCTATGTGGAAAAATCTTGTTTTCTTGCCTTCCTTCTGCACAATGTTTTCAAATTCAGAACATATGCTGAAACACTCCAAATGAACTTGACTTCTGCTGCTTCTCTTTCTTTGGGAAACCACCTCATTTTTTGTGGACTAGCTGGCCTCCCCTCTCATCTTGACGCCTTTCTCCAGTTGTGATTACTTTAAGAAATCCTGCCATGCCAAGGTCATTAGCTTTAGCACCACCGTTACAGGGAAGGCAGGTCAGGTTTGCCTCCTCAAACTCATCCTGGTGTTCCCGCTCAGCTCCTTAATGCATTCACTCTCTAGTCTGTTAGGGACTCTAGTCTGTTAATATTGAATAGCCTTTCCCAGGTAATGGGATAGAGCTACTGAGCATCTCAACGAACCTCACTAGTATCATGTTATAAAGTCAATTTGCAGCTTATCACTATCCTTGATTCCTCGTGAGCAGTGTATTGCCAAACCCTGTGATCTCTGTCTCAAGGAGCTTAAAAATGAAATTCAGATTGGTTAAAAGAAAACACACAGAGGCTTTCAACACCATTGGCCCCGGGTGTGGATAACACCAAGATCACCCGCTTTAGATATATAATAGAAAAATAAAGTCCAAAATCTTGAGGAGAATGGCTGTAGACAAAGAAGATTGAGAAAATGTAGAGGAAAAAATAGTAAAACCACTGGTCTTGTGACTACAAAGGAAAAGACAAGTTGGAAATTATGCTGGAGTTTCTGGCTTAGGAAGTTAGACATAAAGTAGAAAATACAATAGCCATGGATAAGAGCTGATAAATTTAAAAGTATCGCTTTTTTAAAAACCAGAAATAATACTGATTCACTTTAAAAATAGAAATTATCAAAATCACACTGCCCAAGTATAAACACAATTAAGTTTAACCTATTTGTTTAAATGGAATATTCTGTGATCATTCTTCCACATTACTAAAAATTCTAAATGACTTTTTCAAATTTATTTTTTCAGTTAATTGTTCAATATTTCAGGCATATCTAGAGGTATAAAGAATAATATAATGAACACCCAGTTTGAAAAAGAAATCATTACAAACACAGTTGAAGCTGTATGTATAGCCCTCTGTAGTAGCATTCCTCTTTTCCCCAGCAGTAACCATTTGCCCTCTAAAAATGATTTTTCCTGGTTGCATAATGTTCCATTATAGAAATGTAGCATAATCTATTTAACCAATTCCTTATTTTTGGGCATTTGGACTGTTTCAAATGTTTCATTATTATAAATAACAGTTTGATGAGCATCATTATGTATTTTTGCACACATATCTGTGATTATTTCCTAGAGACAAATTCCTAGAAGTAAAATTGCTATTCCCCAATGCTAAAGATATTGTGCTGCACGTTGCCAAATTGCCCTCCAGGAAAATTCTAACCAAGAACACCTTATCCCACCCCCAACCATTGTATGAAAGGACTTAGAAAATAGCTACACGTGAAACACTGGGGAAGCATCATAAATTATATTTCTAATACACCTTTTCAACAGCCAAGCAGAGTGTCTGTTCCCTCCTAGGTGTAGGCTCTGTGCTTGGTACTGAGGATACAGAGGCCACTAAGGCCCTGTTGATCTAGAAGAGAAGAATAACACTGGAGTAGGGGGCAGGAGGTGTGCATGCTACTGGGCAACCTCGTAAAGTGCTTTAGAGCAATGCTTCCAGAGCCAGACCTCCATCTTGGGCAAATTATTTAACTTCTGTGTGCCCCAGTTTCCTTGCTTGTAAAATAGGGGTCATCAAATTTAATCAGCATAATCCATAAATCAGTAGTTCAAAAGATACCATGGGCCAGGCACCATAACTAACACATATAATCCCAGCATTTTGGGAGTCCAAGGCAGCAGGATCGCTGAAGGCCAGGAATTCAAGATAACTGTGGGCAACATAGTGAAACCCCATCTCTACAGACAAAAAGAAAATTAAAGACACAATGCACAATGCCATTCACTTATTCACTTGGAGCATAGTGTTATTGACACACCTGTATGCACAGCATCTTTGGAAAAGGCTTGGGATAGAAAGGGAGGGCAGAGCAGCAAAACAAAAAATAGGGACAAGAGGCCGGGTGCGGTGGCTCACGCCTGTAATCCCAGCACTTTGGGAGGCCGAGGCGAGCGGATCACAAGGTCAGGAGATAGAGACCATCCTGGCTAACACAGTGAAACCCCGTCTCTACTAAAAATACAAAAAAAAAAAAAATAGCCGGGCGTGGTGGTGGATACCTGTAGTCCCAGCTGCTCAGGAGGCTGAGGCAGGAGAATCCCTTGAACCCTGGAGGCAGAGCTTGCAGTGAGCCAAGATCGCACCCCTGCACTCCAGCCTGGGTGACAGAGCGAGACTCCATATCAAAAAAAAAAAAAAAAAAAATAGAGACAGGAAGGGAGGGTGGCAGGGAGGAGAGAGAGGTTTGTGCTCTTGGCACAAAAACACAATTACCCTCTTAAGTAAGAAGGAAATGCTCCATGCCAGGAAATGCTCCATGCCAGTTTTCAGTGTCCCTGCCTATGTGTTGCCCCCAAAACGGATTAACAAAATGTTTCCTTGCTGTGATCCACTCTGCTGGCCTAAGGCCACATATGAGCTGTACAGAAGGCAAGTTACTAGAAGGGCCTTGGCTACCATGCAGAGGGGTGTGTTTCCAGTTGCCAAGACAGAAGGAAAACACTCTCTCATTACACACCCAATATAATCTACATGCATTGATATACTCTATGTATCACCCATAGAAAAAGGCACAATGCAGAACAGTATGTTGCAAAAATACTGTATATATGTAATATATATGTTATATATGTATTTATACACTTATACATATAAACTATAGTTCATACACTCATACAATAATTAATATAAAAGTATTTATTGAGGGCCTACTATATGCCAGGTCCTATGCTAAATGCCAGGAGATATAATAAAAATATGGTTCCTGCCCTCAGCAAGTTTCCATTCTAGTGGCAAAAACTAACATATCTTCTATACTGCCATCTTGTTTAATTTTTTTATAATGATTTGGTATTACCGGTCTAAGAAAAAATAATTTTTGTTTTTAGAATAATGAATGATCTGCAGCAGCTATAAGACAGAGGCCAAGGCAGCCAGATATCTTGAGCGCAGGAGTTCAAGACCAGCCTGGGCAACATGGCAAAACTCTGTCTGTGCAAAAAATACAAAAAAATTAGCCAGGTGTAGTGGCATGTACCTGTGGTCCCAGCTACTTGGGAGGCTGAGGTGGGAGGATCACCTGAGCCCAGGGAGGTTGAGGCTGAAGTAAGCTGTGATGGTGCCACTTCACTCCAGCCTGGGCAATACAGTGAGACTTCTGCTTCAAAAAAAATCTCATTTAATTATCTATTCTAGAACAGGGGTCAGCAAACTTTTTCTGAAAGGGGTCCAGTAGTAAATATATTAGGCTTTGCAAGCCATTGGGTCTTCACTACAGCTATTCAACTCTGCCATTGCAGCATGAAAGCAGCCTGAGATAAGATGCTGATGAATAGCCAGGCTGTGTTACCAAAAAAACCCTGTATTTATGAAGGCAGGATTTTGAATTTCCTATAATTTTCACATGTTGTAAAATATTCCTCTTGAATTTTTTAAACCATTTAAAACTATAAAAATCATTCTTAACTCTTGGGGTGGGTTTGGCCCATGGGTCATAGATTGCCAACCCCTGATTTAAACAGCTAGGTAATAGCCCATTTCGTGGATATTCCAAAGTACTTTTAAATAATCCCCCATTGGTGATATTTAGATTGTTTCCAGCTTCTTCCTATTCCACACAATGCTGTGATGAGCATCCTTGTGTGCATCTTTGCATCCAGAGTATGTAAATGAGTACCTTCCACCTGTCTCTGAATCCACACGGATGTCACCAGCACCAGCTCGTTTGAAAAAATGATATGAGAGGGGTTCTTGAGACAGTCCCACTGAACTGCAAATGCAGAGGATCATAATGGCTCTTTTATTCACCAACCTAATAATTCTATTTTTAAAAGGCTGTCAAATTGGCTGACATGAGTTATTCCTTGTGAACCCTGCTGCTTGTTTTCAGTGATTCATTGTTCTCAATGTTTACTGAAAGGTTCTCAAGATGGCCTTCACGGTTTTCACCAGGAGGCTGTTAGAAACACTCTACAGCCATTTGCCAGGCCGCCCTCTCCCAGCGTTTCTCACCAGGCTCCCTGCCCTATCTTTGTTTTAGATATTCAGTCAGTTTGATATAAGATTTCCTTCCTACCGCCGCTGTAACTCACATACTTGGATGGGTGTTTCGTACATTTTTAGAATTTTTCCCAAGGATCTTCAACTTCTATTTATACACAGCTATCTCCATCCTGTCTACACAATTTCTATTTTTTCCCTTTGTTTGCATCACTTCGAAATTTGAAAGAATAGGTTTATTTTAAAATTATTTTTGCAAAAGCAATACTTATTGCAAAAAAAACAAGTAGAAGCTCACTAAACACCATAAAATAGACCGTGAAGGTCCTCCCTTCTCTGCCCCACCAGTAACCCTACCCCACCCCTAGAGGTAGTCACTATACTCAGTCAGACTGGGACTTCAGATGCAGAACTGCAGATCTCTGTGACATTGGACAAGTCACTTAACTGAAGCCTTAGGTTCTTCATCTGTAAAAGGAGAATGATCATTCTTATTACTTTCAGATGGAAATTATGCTTATGAAGCATTTAACACTTACTACAGTGCCTGATCATACTAACTGCTCAATAAACAATAGCTGTGTTAGAAATATTATTACTACAGTGCCTGACCATACTAACTGCTCAATAAACAATAGCTGTGTTAGAAATATTATTAAGAAATTAGTATTATCCTTCCTCTGTGCAAGCGTAGTCATAATTTTTAACATAATGTATAATTTTTAACATAAATGGCTTCATTTTATGCCTAACCTTTGGTAATTTTTTTCAGTCATTTTTTCTGGAATAACTGTCTTCTTCCTTTTAATGACTTTATAGAATCTCAATGCATTGGTGTCCCGTTATTTGTTTAATCATTCCACTGTTGATGGTTATTTAGGTTTTCAATTCAGATTTTCTTTCTTTCTTTCTTCTGTCTCTCTTTCTTTCTTTCTTCCTTTCTTTCTTTCTTCCTTTCTTTCTCTCTCTCTGTCTCTCTTTCTTTCTTTTTTTCTTTCTTTCTTTCTTTCTTTTGAAACAGGATCTCGCTCTGCTGCCCATGCTGGAGTGCAGTGGTTCATTCATAGCTCACTGCAGACTCAACCTTCTGGGCTCAAGCAATCCTCCCACCTCAGCCTCCAAAGTAGCTAGGACTACAGGCATGCACCACCACACCCAGCTACTTTTTTTAAAGTTTTTTGTAGAGATGGGGTCTTGCTATGTTTCCCAGGCTGATCTCAAACATCTGGCCTCACAACATCCTCCCACCTCAGCCTCCCAAAGTGCTGGGAATACAGACATGAGCCAGAATGCCCAGCCTCAATTCAGATTTTCAATGCTGGAGGGAAGAGCCTTGAACATACATATTTGAGTATTTATGCCAGTATTTTCTTAGAACGAATTCTCCAAAATGGAATTGCTGTGTCAATGGGTATAGACTTTTTTTTTTTTTAATTTTAATAGCTCCCAGAATACTTCCAGCTCCTTGCCGTCCAGAACCTCACGGGGCTGCAACCCTCTAGTCCTCTTGCCAATGGAAAGGCCATGAGACCTGGCCAATAAGTTGTTGAGTGCAAGGGACATATGTCATCACCATTTTACTGCCAGTTTGAAACCTTCCAGGGGTTTCTTTATCTTCTGCCATTGTAATCAGCTGTATTTCAGACAGACAGTGGCTGCTCCACCAGCCTGAGTTCTGTAGTGAGTTCCATGTGAAAGAGAGCTTCAGCTGACCTGCCACAACCACATAGCATGAATGAGCAATAAACATATGTTGTTTTAAGCCACTGTCATTTGGGGGTTGCTGGTTACTATAGCATAACCTGATTGATACACTGCAAAACTGCTCTCCAAAAAAGTTTCTATCAATTCACAATCCTACCAATAGTAAGTGAAAGAGCTGTTTTATTACAGCCCTTTTGCCGTGTTTCCTCATTTTATAGATTTCTCCTTTCCATTAGTCTTATTAGAGATGATCAGAAAAAAAGGTGTGTAATGCTTCAGCCACTTACCAAGGCTTTATTAATTTCACACACCTTCTTATTTATTAGCAAATCCTATTTTCTCAAATATGTCTCACTGTGCTAATATGCAAGTAAAAGGCCTTCTCATGCTCTTTAATTGTTTTTTCCTTAGCATTACCTAATTCCCTTTTTGCTACCTCATTTTATGTCCAAGAGCCTTAACAAGTATACTGTAATCCCATCCATGTCTCTCCTCACCATCTTGATATTCACAAAAGACCTTCCCCATCATAGAGAAATGAGCAGTCATTGTATTTTATATGTCACTATATTGAATTGTCCTTTTAAAAAACTCACATTAATACTTCTGCATAGCTCTTACCTTTATTTGTAAGTACAAGGGGAAATAAGTGTAGATGTTCATCCAAACTCTGGCCACTTTTTAAGGAGCAGCTCAAATGCCACCTCATCACCCTCCGCTTAAGGTAATCGTTGTCTTTTCTAAATTCCCATGTGCTTTTCTATATCTTTTTCACAACACTTGCTTTGTTGAATTGCAGTTAGAGGGGCCTAATTTGTGAACTCATGCTTCCTGTGTTCCCTTTGCAGTAAACATTATTCATTTATATGGAGCATATTTTGCTATCACCGCACTATGAAGTTATATCATGAGGTAGCAACTCTCACTGAGAGCTCAGGAAGGCATGTGATCAGAGCACCAGTGTGAAAACAAGACCTTCTCATGAAGATTTGGGAAAAACCCAAAACCCTTAAAATATGAATGTTCAAACTCCTCAAACCCCAAGTGCATTCCTGTATTTTTTTCCTACAAGCCTAATGATTCTTCTACTGATGAAATCCAGGAAGAAGGGAAGCAGGATGTATTTGATGATAACCACTGGTATATGTACAAACTCTCCACTGGGATGTATTTGCTTGTCTCCAGCTTGGAAAGTTGTAGTGGGACAATGTGAACTGACTGACTCAGGCCAGTTTGGTTAAGTACAACTACTAGGTTGCTTCTCTTGTAGAATATAAATTGCAAGAAGGCACAAAGTAGTTGCTAAATAATTGTTTAATACATAGTTAGAGGTAGGTCACTGTAAACTACCTCCCCTAAACTTGCTGCAATAAAAGTGAGTCTAGTACCAAATTCTGTCACACAAACATTTATTAAATAAGCATTTATTAGCAAGCAATCACAAAAACAGTCATATAACCTCCAAGCTCAATGAAATCCCAGCACTCTATCCTTCTATATACTCCAACCATTCTTTGCATTAAACATTCTCTTGATACAGACACAACGACATTCTTGAAGCAGAATTCAGTTAACCTCTTAGCCAGAATCAGGCAACCAGAATCATCTAAGTTAGTAGATGGAGGCAGGACTATATTAGAATCAAGCCTTAGGCACCACTTTGAAAGTCGAAGGGCAAAAAGCTCACTAGAGTTTTATGTGCTATTTGTGCAATATTGGGAAGTATCTGTAAAATATTTTAGCCAATCTGCATATCTTGAACACTAGTCATTTTAGCATGAAACCTCACTTCTAATATTTATCATGCTAACTAACAAAACTTTTGGTACTAGTCAAGGATAAATACAAAGTAGTTGAAACACTCGTGGTTAAATTTATCTAGAGTATGGCCTTATTAATAAATGCAAACTGGCCATCTCCGGAGGATATTTCCAATCAGAGAGACTGTCGGTTCCTAGGGTGTAGCTTAAAACTAATCAACCACTTATTTAGATCACACTCTCTCTGCTGGCATAATTTAAAATCAATTACAGACATCAAAACACAAGGGGTCACTCATGTCAGATTCTAAAGAACAAAAATTAGAGAGTTTAACACAGCTCTGGAAATCTGGGGTGGCGGTGAACAATAGGCGCAGCAGGCACCTCTCTGTATATCTCCAGTCACATTAACTTTTGTGACAGTGGAATAAAAAGGAGAATTTGATTCACCAAAGGGACATTTCTTCTGGTAAACTGCCTGTGTACAGTGGGAGCAGTTGCCAGGTGACCCTCACTCTCCAAATTTGTCAGGGAGACTACCCCACACGCCTCACCCGCCACCCCTACCCAACACCTCAGCACAAGCTTTGAAAGACATCTAACACACAATTCTAAGATTGGAAATAAGAAGTAGTAGATGCTTTATTCCTTTTTTTTTAAGACTTTATTTTTTAGAGCAGTTTTAGGTTCACAGCAAAATTGAGTAGAATGTACCAAGATGTCCCAATATCCCCTGCCCTCACACAGGCACAGCCTCCCCAATTATCCACATCCTGCACTAGAGTGGTACATTTGTTGCAATTGATGAACGTACATAGGCATATCATTATCCTCCAAAGCCCATAGTTTACATTAGGGTTTACTCTTGGTGTTGTACACCTCCCCTATTATCAACATCCTGCACCAGAGTGGTACATCTATTGCAACTGATGAACCTACAAGGACACATCGTTGTCCTCCAAAGCCCATAGTTTACATTAGGGTTTATTCTTGGTGTTGTACGTTCTATGGGTTTAGACAAATTTATAGTGACATGTGTCCATCATTATAGTATCACACAGTGTAGTTTCACTGCCCTAGAAATCCTCTGTGTTCTGCCTGTTTATCTCTCCCTTCCCCATCCCCTAGCAACCACTGACCTTGTTACTGTTTCCATAGTCACCTTTTCAAGGATGTCATGTAGTTAGAATCATATAGTATATTGCCTTTTCAGGCTAGCATATTGTGTTTCTTCTTTTGTCTTAAGATGGATATAAAGAAAGAAAAGCCTTCTCATAGAGCCTCATTAAATTTCTCCTTCTCACACCCAATCTGCCTCTCACCCCCTCAGTACCCACATGGAGTTGATATAGATGCAGAGTTGAAAGAGGTGGCTCTGGACAATCCTTACTCTCCCCACCTCCTCCTCATTATCACTCCTCTCACTGAAGAATAGACTTTTTATGGCCATGGTATTTTGTGCAACATCTTACTGTGTCCCCATAATTCCTCTACCAAGCCAAGGGTCAACATTTGAAGGTACAAATGATTGCACATGGCCTTTTATTATTTCTTCGGTATTTACATAATGCATTTAAGTTTTTTGAAATGTGTTTTGGGTCAGCGTTAATGGATCAAAAGTGTTGAATGGTATGGCTCTGAGTACGTAGCTACATTTTTAAAAATAATTCTTATGGAAAGAATTTCCCATTATAAGTCTTTGCACTGTAAGTTGCATTTTTCCTGAGATACAGCCTTGACATGCGATATGGATCCTGTACAAGATACATGTACAAGCATATCCTATCTCCCTCCTGGAGACTCCAAACATAGGTCTGTGCCTCTTAATGTCTGCAAGTCCAGCATCTAGCTCAGTGCAATGGAACATAACAGGACTTTAAAATGCATTTATTGAGTAGATCTCACAGGTAACTGACAGTTATTTGTGCTTTGTTTGACTGTGATTCTCGCCATATTTAGATTTGTCTTTCTTATGAAATTATGTTAACATTTCAGTGTAAAGACAATACTTTGGAGACATTGTGGGTTAGGTTCTGGACTACTGCAATAAAGTGAGTCACACAAAATTTTTTGTTTCCCAGTGCATATAAAAGTTATATCTAGGTGGGTGTAATGGCTCACACCTGGAATCCCAGCAACTCTGGAGGCCGAGGCAGGAGGATTGCTTGAGCCCAGAAGTTTGAGACCAGTCTGGGCAACTTAGTGAGACACTATCTCTGCTATAAAAAGATTTTTAGAAAGGGGAACTACTTTCTTTGCTCATTCATAAGAAGCAACTCCTCAAATGTAAAGTTTTATCACATCTTTAGGCTCCACTTCAAATTCTGTTGTTATTTTTATCACATCTACAGTTACCTGCTCCACTGAAGTACTGAACCCCTTAAAGTAATCCATGAGATTTGGAATCGACTTCTTTCAAGCTACTCTTCATGTTGATATTTTGACCCTCTCCTATGAATCACAAATGTTCTTAATAGCCTCTAGTATGGTTAATCGTTTCCAGAAGATGTTCAATTTACTTTGCCCATATCCATCACTATCAAAGGTGGCTATAGTTTTATGAAATGTACTTCTTTTTTTTTTTTTTTTTTTTTTTGAGATGATGTCTCACTCTGTCACCCAGACTGGAGTGCAGTGGCGTGATCCCAGCTCACTGCAACCTCCACCCCCCAGGTTCAAGCAATTCTCCGACTTCATCCTCCTGAGTAGCTGGGATTACAGGTGCACATCACCACGCCTGGCTAATTTTTTATTTTTAGTAGGACAGGCCTACTAAAGAATAAATTTCCAGCCTGAAATGTATTTCTTAAATAATAAGGCTTGAAAGCTGAAATTATGGCCGGATGCAGTGGTTCATGCCTGTAATCCCAACACTTTGGGAGGCCAAGGCAGGTGGATCACCTGAGGTCAGGAGTTCAATACCAGCCTGGCCAACATAGTGAAACCCAGTCTATACTAAAAATACAAAAATTAGCTTGGCGTGGTGGTGGGTGCCTGTAGTCCCAGCTACTCAGGAGGCTGAAGTGGGAGAATTGCCTGAACCTGGGAGGTGGAGGTTACAATGAGCTGAGATTGTGCCACTGCACTCTAGCCTGGGTGATAGAGTGAGAACCTGTCCCCCACTCCAAAAAGAGAAAGTTGAAATTACTCCTAGATCTGTGGGCTGCAGAATGGATGTTGTGTTAGCAGGTATGAAAATAACATTCATCTCCATGTACATCTTTGTCAGAGCTCTTGGGCAACCAGGTGCATGGTTAATGAGCAATAACATTTTGAAATAAATCTTTTTTTATGAGCAGTAGGTCTCAACAGTGGGCTTAAAATATTCAGTAAAACATGCTTTACAGGCAACATAACAGATGTGCTGTCATGAAGGTTTTGTTGTTCCATTTCTGGAGCAAAGGCACAGTCAATTAAGCCTAATTTTTAAGGGGCTAGGGTTATTGGAATGGTCAATGAGCATTGGTGTCAACGTAAAAGTTAGCCTGTCCTTTCAAGTTTTGAAACAGGCCTTGACTTCTCCCTAGTTTGAAAAGTCCTAGATGATATCTTCTTCCAAGAGAAGGCTGTTTCATCTACATTGAAAATCTGGGGTTTAGTGTACCTACCTTCATCAACAATCTTAGCCAAATCTTCTGGATAACTTGTTGCAGCTTCTCTATCAGCACTTGCTACTTCACCTTGCATTTTTATGCTATGGAAACAGCTTTTGTCCTTAAACCTCATGAACCAACCTCTGCTAGCTTCAAACTTTTGTTCTGCAGCTTCCTTACCTCTCTCAGCCTTCATAGCATTAAAGAGAGTTAAGGACTTGCTCTGAATTAGGCTTTGGCTTAGGGGAGTGTTGTGACTGGTTTTATCTTTTATCCAGGCCACTCAAATCTTCTTATCAGCGATAAGCCTGCTTTGCTTTCTTATCCTTTGTGTGTTCACTGCAGTAGCACTTTTAATTTCCTTCAAGAACTTTTCCTTTGCATTCCCAACTTGGGAAACTGTTTTGCACAAGAGCCCTAGCTTTTGGCCTATCTTCGCTTCTAATATGCCTTCCTCACTAAATTAAACATTTCTAGCTTTTGATTTAAAGTGAAAGAAATGCCACTTTTCCTTTTACATAAACAGTTAGAGGCCATTGTAGGGTTATTAACCGGACTGATTTCAATATTGTGTCTCAAGGAATAGATAGGGCTGAGGAGAAGGAGAAAGATGAGAATGGCCAGTCAGTGGAGACTTCAAAACGCATACACCATTTACTGATTAAGTTTGCTACCTTATATGGGCATGATTTGTGGCACCCCAAAACAATTACAATAGTAATATCAAGGATCACTGATTATAGATCACCATCATAGGTATAATAATGAAAAAGTTTGAAATATTGCAAGAATTACCAAAATGTAACATAGAGAAATGAAATGAATTGTTGTTAAATGCTGTTGGGAAAAAAATTGTGTCGGCAGACTTGCTCAACTCAGGGTTGTCACGAATCTTCAATTTGTAAAAAACAAATCTGTGAAGTGCAATAAAATGAGGTATGCCTCTGTTTATTGTGTCCTGAATGCCCATAAAAGAAGTTTAGGGTATGGTTTATTTTATTTTTCACTAGTACAGATTCTACTTTTTTACAGAAGGATGGTGGGCATTGCACCTACCCTAAAGAATTTTTGCATAAAATAAAGTCAGTAGTTGCCATTTTTTTAAAAGACTCTCAATTATGGGGACAATTGGCAGCTAAGCAATTTTATAACTATAAGAAAACCTCATTTAATAATATGGTTAAAATTTTCATATATTTAGCATGTGCAAGTCTTTGTGCTAAGTATCTTACAAGCATGATCTCATTTAACCCTTTATTCTTTTTGCCTTAGCTTCCAATATGGCTTGGCACAGCACTGTTACTGATCCTGTGTTTATTGAAAATGTTGATAGTTTTTTCATCATGAGGTTTTTTTGCATAAATTTGGGTATTTTTAAAATCTGGTATTAAAATATTATTTATCTAAATTCCTGTTTTTTTCGGCACCTCCCTCAATTTTGCGCCCTATTTCCAGTAACAGCCTCAGGGTGCTGGGACTATTATTTTTCTCCCTTTCGAGATAAAGAAACAGAGGGTCAGAATAGTTGCATTTGCCCACAGTTTACAGGTGCCAGTAATGGTGGAATAAGGTCAGATTCCTGATACCATGACATATCAGCCCTCAGTTTACGCACATAGTTTTACAGATAAGGAAACAGAGATGCAGACAGTTAAGAGGGTATGCACAGTCACCCAACAACTTGGGAACAGAACCAAACCAGAACCCAGGATTCCTCACCTGTCTCAAAAACACAGTGGTGTGAGCCGTGCATTGTAGATGCATCATACTTGTTCCCCAGGCTGCACCAGGCTTCAGAGTTCATTCTTTCAATAACTATTTATTAAGCATCTCCTAGGAGCTGTACACTATGTAGTAGTTGGTCCAATGAAGACTGACTTCCTTGGCAAAGAAGCTGGGAAAATGTAGTAGAAAGCATTCATTTCTTCATTCACTATGCTAGGCTCCGGGATACACAGCAGAATAAAATTCTGAAAAGTTCACTGACAAAAGGAGGACATAGATATGCAACTAAAAATTGAGATAAACTAAGCTAAGCTCAACCATAGAAGGACTCAAAAGTTACAGAGCCTCTGTTTCACATTCTGAATGCTGAGTCGCTTTAGTTTAGTGAGCACCTTCAGTACTGAAAACACAAGTGTTATGGGCTGGCGGAAGAGGATTCAGAGAAATGTAAAGGAAGCTTCCGCTCCTTCGGTTTATATTCTACTTGAAGAAAAAGGTCATGTACATATGACATGTCTAGTATTTATTTATCTGACCTCCTAATTATTAATATTAGGTTGGTGCAACAGTAATTGTGGTTTTTGCATGGGCTTTTTTCCTTTTGTTCTCCAGGGTATTGTCAACACCCAGAATAGCAAATGGCACAGGATTGGTGCTCAGAGTTTCGAGAATGATGGAGAACAAGCAGAAATAAGTCTTTTAGGAATTGTGCCATTCTGGTTGGAATTTTGGACACATATTCCCTCTCTTAAAAGTTCATTTGACATATTTATTTTTAACATCTTTTTGTCACCTTGAAGGTGCCATCTTGTGTCTCTATGGGCAAAGGCTATAAAAGATGGATGGTGTTTGGATAAGAAGAGGTCTTCATGGAGAAGTTTGTCTTGGAATTTGACTTCAATAAGGACAAATATGGCACCCTTCCAATATGAGGTTTTAAGAATTTGACAGATAATCAGTCCTTTGGCTTAATCTAGTGTAATGAGTCCCCACGTCTGAGAAGTCAGACTAATATATTAGTCTGAATAATATAAATATTAATATATATATTAATTTCACATACCTTCTTATTTATTAGCAAATCCCATTTTCTCAAATATGTCTCACTGTGCTTATATATATATATATATTATGTCATATATATATATGACAATCAATGGCTCTGTGTGTGTGTGTGTGTGTGTGTGTGTGTGTGTATTCTGGCTCCATTACTTGGACAATTTACCTAACCCTTCTAAGCCACAATTTCTTCATCTGAAAAATAGAGAGATTAACAATATCCAGCTCATAGATCTGTGGTGCCAATTAAGTCTACACTATGGTGAATATGAATATACCACATCCCCTTCAAGGAAGAACTTGCTGACCAGCTGCAGGAGGGCACGCAGCAGCTGCTATAGCTGATAATTCTCTCCAAGTTAGCCTCAGATGTAGAGAGCCTCCCTTAAGGTCAGGCCCTTCCTGGGGCAGCCTATACCCCACGGCTGAGCAAGGCAGAGTACAAGAGTGTGGCTATTCCAGTTTCATACAGGACCTCCTGGTAGTCAACACTCAACTCACAACTCCCCAGCAAGTTGGCTGAGAATTTTTTGAGCCTGAATCACAGTTTTTCTTCCTCTGCCCATTCCTGCTTCCTCCTCCTTCCTTTCACTTTGTTAATCCCTAATAAACATCTTGCACCCCAAACTCCATTTCACCATCTGCTTCTGAAGAACCCAACCTGGAACATATGCCAGCTGCTCAGAACAGCACATGGATCTTAAGCATTCAAAAAAAATTAGTCAGTATTACTATCATTATTATTATTATTATTATTATTATTAATGGGCCTACTGATGACAAGAGCAAAACTGCATGCCTGTTTTCAATATGGTTTTCTGCAATTGTGTTGAGATTATTACTTTTCAATGGAGTTTCCAGGACTTTTAAACCTAATCTTCTCTCTGGTTTTCTCTAGGGGTGAATGTGGATTTTTTCATTCATTTTATATTGTGAGCGACTACTATGAGCCAGGCTCTGAGCTAAATGCTAGGAATGAGAATACACCCAGCCTTGCAAGAGCATTTGAATTGTTGTCGACTGAACACAAAAGTGAGGGTGAGATTTATTGCCCTGCCCACCAGGTGATACTGTCAATATGTAGCTGTTTATCCCTGAAACAGGGGTCCTGGTAAGGAATGGAAAGGATGAGACAGAGCATTTTATTATTTTATTGGCAGAAAGGGAAAAGTTACAGTCAGCCCAGAAGGTGCATCTTTTGCTATTTCTATCAGTTTTCTCTAATGCTTATGATGATGGGAATGCATAGTTCACTGAGTGGATGGAAATTCAGGCTCCAACTATGGCCAAAACCAATGAGCAGTAACGTGGAAGTAGTCAAGAATATACAAAACACAATGAAGAGACAGAAACACTTTAAAGCAACCAGTTATTTTATTCAATCATTTCCTGAGCATGCTGGATGCAAAGCCCAGGTATGATGCTGGGGGTAAGAGACACAGAAATAATTAAAGCAGTCCTTAACCTCAACAACTAAAAGTCTGTGAGCAAAGACTGAGACCTGTACAGACTAGCGATATAGAACATAGAGTATTCTGGCTGGGCGTCGTGGCTCATGCCTGTAATCTCAATGCTTTGGGAGACCAAGGTGGGAGGATTGCTTGATCCCAGGCAACATAGCAAGACTTCATCTGTAAGAAAAATGTGCAAAAATCAGCCAGACATGGTGGCATACACCTGTAGTCCCAACTGCTTGGGAGGCTGAGGCAAGAGGATCACTTGAGCCCAGGAGATCAAGGCTGCAGTGAACCATGATCGCACCACTCCACTCCAGCCTGAGCAACGGAGTGAGACTCTGTCTTTAAAAAATATAATAATAATAATAAAGAGTATTCTAAGAGTGATTGTGTAAGAATGCTATATATGCATGAATATAAGGTAAGTTTATATTTTCTCAAAAATTAATACAGAAATAAGGGATTTGCCTTATATTTTAGTTCTTACCAAGTCTCTCATCACAGGACATGCACTCAAATTTTTTAATTTGAAGAGTGAATTGCTGAACCAGACTAACTTCAACAATGCTGGTTTAGGATAATTATGAGGGTCACCTAACTTTTTAAAAAATAAAAAGTGAAAGAGATTTAAGACAGATTTAGAAACTATTACTGGGTGTATAACCTCACAAATCCAAGAGTCAGATTATTTGTAAACAAAATTTTGAAAGACCATTTTAGAAAGCAATTCAGAACTTTCATGTCAGCAGAGCAGACACTAGATAAACAACACTGCTGAATGAAACAAGTAAAAAGCTGGATTAAAAAGATAAAAATGTCTTTTTAAGTGTTTTGCTGGGTTACAGTCGGAAGAAAGATTCTTCAGAGGCCGAGAATAGAAAATCAAGTTTCCTGGGAAACATTTTTCTGAGACTAGAGACCTTGAACCTTGGCACATACTGCTGCTCAGAGTGCACGCCAGAGGGTTGGGGTTGCAGAGGGGTGCTAATTTCATATTCCCACATAACATTGAAACCCAAACAGGCTATACTCTCCATGTAAGGAGCAAGGAGAAATAAATCTAATGTGCTGATAGGAAACAGAACAGCTCTGGACAAAGGCAGGAAAAAAAAAAAACTCCCTGGAGAATTAGTAACCACAAACTAGACTTCACCTACCTGGGTTTGCAGTCTGAATTCTACCTGTATGATCCCAAAATACTTCCAGAATAAAATTTAATATAAAGTAGATCAGGATAATTTAAAGTTGTGTTTTTTCATACATGGTACTACAATTTTTAAAAACCATTTATTTCTGTATTACACAGGTACACTTAGCTATCATATATTAAAATATATATATAAAAGAAAAGACATATGGACAATTATCAACAAATTCTACATATCCATCTGAATTAATAAGGAATCACACACAGTTTTAAGGACAGCCAATCAAGGATAGCTATGATAGCAAAATGTTAAAGGCAGGATAATATAAAGAATGGCTTGTTTTAACTATTTGCTTAACTCTTTTACTTTAGTTTGGCTTCCACGTAAGAAAAATGAGATAAAGCTTTTAGGGCTATGTTGGAACAAGGTGATATGATGTTCCTTGTTAGTTTGCTAAGTTAATGGCAATCAGTGACTTTCTATAATAATATTAATATTGAAACTGATGAGGAATGATATTAGACTTCCCCTGGATGCCATGGGCCTAAGTCAAGTATTTAACACTGGGAAAATCTCAAAAGCCTTTACAAGATAAATAGGCAAGTCCAGGTGCAGTGGTTAACACTTGTAATTCCAGCACTTTGAGAAGCCAAGGTGGGAGGATTGCTTCAGCCCAGGACTTTGAGACCAGCCTGGGCAATACAGAGAGACCCTGTCTCTACAATAATAATAATAATAATTAAAAATTAGCCACGTGCATGCACCTGTGGTCCCAGCTACTCAGGAGGCTGAGATGGAAGGATCACTTGAGCCTGGGAGGTCGAGGCTGCAGCAGTGAGCCATGATCACACCACTGCACTCCAGCCTGGATGACAGAGACTCTGTTTCAGAGAAAAAAAAAAAAAAAAACAGATAAATAGCCAATAGGCAAGAGGAAAAGAAGTTAGATCCTGGTAAGTATTTAGGTCACCAGGGAAAAATAGTATAAATGGAACAATTATCTTGACATATCCATGTTTCTCTCTGGCAATCAACCTCAGTCTTCCAGATGTTCAAATTTGCTTTATTTGTTCAAAGGGAACCAGTGAAAGCCACACAGCACATCATTTAAATAGCTGGACTCCAAATTTCATCCAAATTGATTTTTTTCCTCTATCCCACTATTTGCCTGCCTTTCAACATTCCTTTTCTGCGGACACTCCTCCTATACATAATATCAAGTAATTCATGCATCACCATAAATGAAGCTATTGACAGAGGAGATGAGGGCAATGCTCACCAAAGCCTAAACAATTAGTGGCTGTATCATGGGAACGGGGCTTGAGAGTCAGGCTGGAACTATCATAAATCCAAAATCAAAATGTCTCAGCATGATTCCCTTAAAACTATAACAGGTCTGCATAGTATTTCATTAAACATAAAGGCTCTTATTTGATAAACCAAAACTAATCTCATTTTTCTGATTAATGTCTTCAATAGGAAAAGCTAGAGTCCACTGTCTTAATTTATTTCTAAGGCAGTCTATAAAAAGCAGGAGGATGATTGTTCTCTAACTAAAATCAGACACCTAGCCACACTCACCAGAAATTGGCAAAAAGATTATACTTCACTGAAATTTAGGGAAGAACATAAAAAGAGTGTTTCTTGAAATAGAAAAAGAAGCATTTTGGAGAGAGCATTTGTTGTCTGACTTCTAGCCTTTTAGCCTTCTGCCTTCTTAACAGGACATCAAAGTTCTTAGTCATGAGTTTTGGCTGAAATTGAACCCTCCCAAAAATTTAAGGGTAGGCCCTGACTGGCTAATGTCAACCAGTACATCTTTCTCCCAGCCAGAGTGAATGGCTTTTTGGAGGAATTCTAGGAAAGGAGTGTTCTCTTTGGAACATGAAAGCTACAAAGAGAATACTTTCTCCTCTCTGCTAAAACAAAAGTGGGGCTGCTGTTCCTGCCACCAGCTTTGTGTGGCCATGATGGATGCCAATCTTTAAATGAAATTGATAATGGGAAAAACAATATGGAGCAACAAAAAGAAACTGGGCCTCTAGCGATGTGGTTGAGCCACTAGATCAATCTATACTTGAAGACTGCGCTACCACTGAACTTTTCAGTTAAGTAAGCAGGTAAGTTCCTCTTATTGTTTAAGCTAGTCTAAGTTGATTTTTCTGCTACTAGTTAATTAATAATGGGGCTGGAACCACATAAAAAGATAGGCATCATTTTAAAAAAACAGACTTGAATAAAAGTATCCAGATTTCTCAGAGATTCTCAGCTTACACAGTGTAAGGTATCTTACTCAACAAGCAACTGTGGCCTGGCTGTTTAGTAAAGTTGAATCTGTTACAATAAAAAGATTTTTAACACTAACATGTAGAAAAATCTATTATTGCTAGCATAGTGGCAAATTTTAAAACAGTTTACCATGAAAAGAGAGCTAAGGCTAATACCTCAGTTCATTCTTATGCATAGGCTGTGAAGAAAAAGCAAAAAAGAACAAGTGTATAATTTCCTCCATCATCTCCATGGCAATTTTCAGTCTCCGTCATGAAATGTTTAATCCAAGAACCTTGTTTGTTTGCTTGTTTGTTTTAAGGAGACAGATGGGAAATCACAGAGACACTCTCTGGACATCCAAGATAAAATAAATAACTTTTTTTCAGTTATCCGTTTTCCTACTGAATGCCACCAAAAAAAAAAAAAATACATTAAGAGGCTTTGTGGCCAGGTATGATGTGCATCGGGAGGCCAAGGTGGGAGGATGTCTTGAGGCCGGGAGTTCAAGACCAGCCTAGGTAATATAGCGAGACCCTATCTCTAAAAAAAAAAAAAATCAAAAAATCAGCTAGGCATGGTGGCACACACCTGTAATCCCAGCTACTCAGAAGGGTGAGGTGGGAGGATCACTTGAGCCCAGGAGTTCAAGGTAAGCCATGATCGCACCACTGCACTCCAGCCTGTGCTACAGAGCAAGACCCTGTCTAAAAAAAAAAAGAAAAGAAAAGAAAAATGAAAAAACAGAACCACCTATGAGGAAGCACTGTTATTACAGTCGTTTTAGCGTTGAGTATACTGAGTGGTTAAGCAAATTATCCAAGGTCAGAGGACTACTAAGTGTGAGTGCAAAGATTCAAATCCAGACTACCTGACTTCAGCCCATTTGCTCTAAACCACTAACCCTCATCCCTGTTGCCATTTTGTGCCCAAGATTCAGATGTATCTCTCTCTTTTAATCCTATAAAACCATCCAGTATTTCTATAATAAAATTTCCCTTTTAGCTTTATATAAGTTGGTTTCTGTTTCTTGCAAGCAAAATGTCTTAAGGAGCACTTTACTGACAACTGGGAATCAACATTTATAGATCCCAGGAACTCCATAAACAGTGAGAAAATGGATAAATGAACACCACCAAGTCCCCTCTACAGTGGGCTACTGGGCATATTAATTCACAACAACCTCAGACTCAGAGTCGCTGAGCAATGCATCTTATTTGTGCCCTGTACGCAGCAGATGCTCTGTTCCTGGGCATTTTTGTAGTAGGTGGATAATTTCCTGGAACTGGAACATGTTCTTGAGAGGAAGAGCAAACAATGCCCTCCTCTGCAGTCTTGGCATTTTGAAGGGCAGATGTAGGACTCAGTCAGTAATTAGAATCCAGGGGAAAATTGCATTGAGATTGAATTTTTGAAAAACAAAGCTATATTACTTATGGCAAGATTAACTCAAGGCTGAGAATCACCATTTTGAAGCCAACCAAATCTGAATTTGAACCCTAGCGACCTCCACCACTAGAATGGTGGTTACTAGAGGCTGGGAAGGGTAGTGGGGAAGGAATGATAAAGAGGAGTTGGTAATTGGGTAAATAGAAAGAATAAGATATAATGTTCAGTAGCACAACAACTAACACTATAGCTAACAATTGTATGTTTTGAAATAAGGAAGTAGATTTGTAATGTTCTCAACACAAAGAAATAAATGATAAATATTTGAGGTGATGTATACCCCAGTTCCCCAGATTTGATTATTACATATTGTATGTTTGTATCAAAATATCACATAGACCCATAAATATGTAAAACTATTACGTATCCATGAAAATTAAAAATTAAATAAAATAAAGGCCAGGCATGGTGGCTCACGCCTGTAATCCCAGGACTTTGGGAGGCCAAGGTGGGCAGATCACGAGGTCAGGAGATCGAGACCATCCTGGCCAACATGGTGAAACCCCTTCTCTACTAAAAATACAAAAATTAGCCAGGTGTGGTGGTGCACGCCTGTAATCCCAGCTACTCAGGAGGCTGAGGCAGGAGAATTGCTTGAACCTGGGAGGCAGAGATTGCAGTGAGCCAAGATCGTGCCACTGCACTCCAGCCTGGCTGACAGAGTGAGATTCTGTCTCAAAAAAATAATAATAATAAAATACGACATTACTTTGGGAATTTTTAAAGCACCTCAAGAAAATACAAAGAAGGGATGGGTGCAGGGACTCACACCTGTATTCCCAACACTTTGTGAGGCCTCAGGGGAAGGATCACTTGAAGCCGGGAGTTCAATACCTGCCTAGGCAACATAGTGAAACCCTCATCTCTACAGAATTTTTTTTTTAATTAGTCGGGCATAGTGGTGCACACCTGTAGTGCCAGCTACTCCCAGAGGCTGAGGTGGGAGGACTGCTTGAGCCCAGAAGTTCAAGGCTATGATTGTGCCACTGCACTCCAGCCTGGGTGATAGAGTCAGATCTTGACTAGGAAAAAAAAACGAAACAGAAAGAAAGTACAAAGAAGGAATTATCAATTAACTATGTTTTGCACAGAATTAATTATCCTACCATCTTGGCCTGTTTGCTGGCTAGGCTAGTTGGTTCATGTTTTTTAAAATCACACAATGATGTTGATAAAAATGACACACATTTGTTATTTTTTAAAAATCCAACCAATGCAGAAAAGAAGAAAGCTTACTTTAATGACCCAAATTCCACCACCCAGAAATTACTATTATTTGTATTAGGTGAACATTAATATGGAAAGTTGCTGTATACATACAGATAGTTGGCTACATAGATAAATTGTTTAATAGATTAGATAGATGAATAGAAATATTTTACTAAAATCAGATCTATTTTAGATGGTTTTAAAAAATATTAAATTTAATTCTACTTGACTTTAATTTTTAAAAAACAAGCTGAAGAGACACTAAGGGCATTATTTCTGAAATTTTTAACTTCTAATTTTCTTCTCTTAAGTCCTAGCTGATGCTTATGCAAATATTCCCATATATTCACCCAACATCGGTGTCTCCTATATTTCAGAAGAAGGGAGACCCTTCAGATCATCCCATATTTTGTTGTTGTGGTGGTGGTGGCAAAATATACATAACATAAAATTCATCATTTTAAGCATTTTAAAGTGTACAATTTAGTGGCATTTAGTACACTTACAGTGTTGTGCAACAACCACCTCTATCTAGGTCCAAAACATTTCATGGCCTCAAAGGGAAATCCTATACCCATAAAGCATACATCCCCCCTTCCTCCTCCCTCCAGTTCCTGGCAACCACTAATCTGCCTTCAGTCTCTATGGATTTGCCTATTATGGGCATTTCATATCAATGGAATTCTACAACATGTAACCTTTTTTGTCTGGCTTCTTTTGCTTAGCATGCTTTTAAGGTTCATCCATGTAGTAGCATGCATTATACTTCATTCCTTTTTTGGCTAAATAATATTCCATTGCATGGATACACCACATTTTGTTGATCCATCTATCAGTTGATGGACATTTGCATTGTTTCCACCTTTTAGTTATTGTGAATAATGCTGCTATGAATGTTTACATATAAAATGTTGTTGAAAGACCTGTTTTCAATTCTTTTGGTATAGGCATATCTCAGAGATATTGCAGATTTGATTCCAGACACCAAAGTAAAGAGAATATCATAATAAAGTGAATCACACACATTTTTTTCCCAATATATATGAAAGTTGTATTTACACTATCCAGTATTTTATTAAATGTGCAACAGCACTGTGTCTAAAATAACAATACACACACCTTAATTTAAAAATACTTTGGCCGGGCCCAGTGGCTCACGCCTGTAATCCCAGCACTTTGGGAGGCCAAGGTGGACAGATTGCTTGAACTCAAGAGTTTGAGACTAGCCTGGGCAACATGGCAAAACCCCATCTCTACAAAAAGTAGCTAGGCATGGTGGCACACACCTGCGGTCCCAGCTACTGAGAGTGAGGAGGCCCAGGAGGTCAAGGCTGCAGTGAGCTGAGATCACACCAACGCATTTCAGCCTAGGTGACAAAGTGAGACACTATCTCAAAAAAAAAAAAAAAAAGGTTAGGAGTGGTGGCTCATGCCTGTAATCCCAACACTGGGAGGCCAAGGCAGGAAGATCACCTGAGGTCAGGAGTTTAAGACCAGCCTGGCCATCGTGGTGAAACCTTGTCTCTACTAAAAATACAAAAATTAGCCGGGAGTGGTGGCACATGCCTATAATTCCAGCTACATGGGAGGCTGAGGCAGGAGAATCGCTTGAATCCAGGAGGCAGAGGTTGCAGTGAGCCGAGATCGTGCCATTGCACTTGAGCCTGGATGACAAGAGCAAAACTCCATCTCAAAAAAAAAAAAAAAAAAAAAAAAAGCTTTATTTCTAAATAATGCTAACAAAAATCTGAGCCTTCAGGAAGTTGTAATCTTTTTGCTGGTGGAGTGTCTTGCCTCAGTGCTGATGGCTGCTGACTGATAAGGCTGGTGGTTGCTGAAGGTTGTCATGGTTGTGGCAATGTCTTAAAATAAAACAACAGCGACGTGTATTCCTCATGAAAGATTTCTCAGTAGCATGCAACACTGTTTGATAGCATTTTACCCACAGCAGAACTTCTTTCAAATTTGGAGGAAATCCTCTCAAATCCTGCCACTTTCATCAACTATGTTTATGTAATACTCAAAATCCTTTGTTGTCATTTCAATGGTGTTCACAGTATCTTTACCAGGAGTCAATTCCATCTTAAGAAACCACTTTCTTTGCTCACCCAAGAAGTAACTCCTTGTCCGTTCAAACTTTATCATCAGATGGCAGCAATTCAGTCTCATCCTCAGGCTCCACTTCCAATTCTAATTCTCTTGCTATTTCCACCATATCTGCAGTTACTTCCTCCACTGAAGTCTTTATCCCCTCCAAATCGTTCATGAGAGTTGGTATCAACTTCTCCCAAACTCCTGTTCATGTTGATATTTTGACCTCCTCCCCTAAATCACAAATGTTCTTAATGCTATCTAGTATGGTTAATCTTTTCCAGAAGGGTTTCAATTTACTCTGTCTAGATGCATCAAAGGAATCAGTATCTATGGCAGCTATAGTCCTTACAAAATGTATTTCTTAAATAATAAGACTTGAAAGTTGAAATTATTTCTTGATCCAGGGGCTGCAGAATGAATGTTGTGTTAGCAGACATGAGAACAATATTCATCTCCTTGTACATCTCCATCAGAGCTCCAGGTTCATTGTCAATGGGCAATAATATTTTGAAAGAAATATTTTTTTCTTAGGTCTCAGCAGTGGGCTTAAAATGTTGAGTAAATCATGCTGTAAACAGATGTGTATCATCCAGACTTTGATGTTCCATTTCTACAGCACAGGCAGTTGATTACACATCATTCTCAAGGACCTAGGGTTTGGGGAATAGTCAATAAGTACTGGCTTCCACTTAAGTCATCAGCTGCATTACTTCCTAACAAGAGAGACAGCCTGTCCTTTGAAGCTTTGAAACCAGGCTTTGACTTTCCCTCTCTAGGTAGAAAAGTCCTAGCTGGGATATTCTTCCAAAAGAAGGCTGTTTCATCTACATTGAAAATCTGAGGTTTAGTGTAGCCACCTCCATCAGTGATCTTAGCTAGACCTTTCTGGATAACTAGCTGCAGCTTCTCTATCAGCACTTTCTGCTTCACCTTGCACTTTTATGTTATGGAGACAGCTGCTTTCCTTAAACCTTATGAATCAACCACTGCTTGCTTCATAGTTTTCTTCTGCCTTGCTCACCTATCTTAGCCTTCACAGAACTGGAGATAATTGGACCCGGCACAGTGGCTCATGCCTGTAATCCCAGCACTTTGGGAGGCCAAGGCAGGTGGATCACTTGAGGCCAGGAGTTTGAGACCAGCCTAGCCAACACGGTGAAACCCCGTCTCTACTAAAAAATACAAAAAATAAGCCAGGCATGGGGGAACACTCCTGTAATCCCAGCCACTCAGGTGGCTGAGGCATAAGAATTGCTTAAACCCAGGAGGCAGAGGTTGCAGTGAGCCAAGATTGTGCCACTGCAGCACTCCAGCCTGGGGCAACAGAGCAGAACTCTGCCTCGAAAAAAAAAAAAGAAGAAGAAGAGAATTGGGGCCTCGCTCTGGATTAGGCTTTGGCTTAAGGGAATGTCGTGACTTTTTGATCTTCTATCCAGACCAAACTTTCTCCCTATCAGCACTGTTCACTGCAGTAGCACTTTTAATTTCCTTCAAGAACTAAGAACTTTTCCTTTGCAGTCTCAACTTGGCAAACTGTTTGGTACAAGAGGCCTAGTTTTTAGCCTATCTCAGCTTTTTCTTTGTTTTTTGTTTGTTTGTTTGTTTGTTTGTTTTTCCTTGAGACAGGATCTCACTCTGTCAGCCAGCCTAGAGTGCAGAGGTACGATCATAGTTCACTGCTGTCCTGAACTCATGGGCTCAAGTGACCCTCCTGCCTTGGACTCTAGTAGCTAGGACCACAGACACATGCCACCATATCCAGCTAATTTTTAAATTTTTTGTAGAGTTGGGATCTTGCTATGTTACCCAGGCTGGTCACAAACTCTTGGCCTCAAGTGGTCCCCCCACCTTGGCTTTCCAAAGCAGTAGGATTACAGGCATGAGCCACTGTGCTTGGCCTGTCTCAGCTTTTGACATGTCTTCTTCACTAAGCTTAATCATTTCTAGCTTTTAATTCAAAGTAAGAGACACGCAACTCTCCCTTTCACTTAGACACTTAGACGCCATTATTGGGTTATTAACTGGCCTAACTTCAATATTGTTGTGTCTCAGGGAATAGGGATATTCAAAGAGAGAGAGAGGGAGAGAGAGGAGGAGGAATGACTTGTCAGTGAAGTAGTCAGAACACACACATTTATTGATTAAGTTTGCCACCTGATGTGGGAAGTTTCTGGAACCCCAAAACAATTACAATAGTAACATCAAAGATGAATTGTCACAGAGCATCATAACAGATATAATAATAAGGAAAAGTTCAAAATATTGCTAGAATTACCAAAATGTGACACAGAGACACAAAGTGAGCACAGGCTGTTGAAAAAATGGTGCTGACAGACTTGCTCAACACAGGGTTGCCACAAACTTTCAATCTGTAGAAAACACAGTATCTGTGAGGAATGATAAAGGGAAGGGCAAAAAAAACCCCAAGGTATGCATGTATATGCCTCAGAGTGGAATTGCTAGGTATTATGGTAATTCTGTGTTTAACTTGTTTTCTATATCAGCTGTACCATTTTATACCTCGTTTTGATTTTCATTACTCATTCTACACTGTCAAGGGCCTTCTTTTGAAAGAGGTTAAAAACCCTAAGTCAATTCTATTACCCTTATAACCATATTCTGCCCATTGCTCTGTATTTTACTTAAATGGGTACAGTCATAGTCATGTAGGCAATTCTTAATCAAACACATGACTCTTTCTCTACTTAATAGCCTGCCTGAGGCACACATTGCCAATTGGTCAGCCTTCTCTCTAACCCGGAAACAGCTTCACAATTTCCAACTTAGTACACTACCAATCAATCCAAGAGCAAACATAAAACTTGAACCTTTCAGCAGGTGTGGTGGCTCACGCCTTAATCCCAGCACTTTGGGAGGCTGAGGAGGGTGGATCGACTGAGGTCAAGAGTTCGAGACCAGCCTGGCCAACACGGCGAAACCCCATCTCTACTAAAAATACAAAAAAGAATTAGCCGGGCATGGTGGCAGGCACCTGTAATCCCAGCTACTCGGGAGGCTAAGGCAGGAGAACGGCTCGAACCCGGGAGGCAGAGGTTGCAGTGAGCGGAGATCGCACCACTGCCCTCCAGCCTGGGTGAGAAGAGTGAAACTCCATCTCAAAAAAAAAAAAAAATTGAATCTTTCGTCCTCCTTGCCTGTGCCTCCTCTAATCACCATTTTGTTCAGGCCATCCTGCTTTCTTGGACAACCCTATCCATTTCCTTGAAGTTTCTGATGGCTGTTGTCTTTAAGACCCAGATCAGACTTCACCATTTTCATGGGTACTCCAGTCCTCTTAATAGGAACACCCAGAGCCACCATATTGTCTCTACCCCATAGTTTGTCCCCATTTCGTATCTCTTAGTGTTATAGGTTTTGTTCCTGCATATAGATACTCTCTCCACAACTCATATTCTTCTTGAGTTTAGTTGAGTGGGAGGCAGGAAGGCAGAGTGAGAAGGAACTGGGCCATATAAGTTAGATGCAGGCCTGAGTTCACACTCCATTTAGCCATGGGACAGGCCAGCTGCCTTACCTCCCAGGGCTGTCTCCATTCCTCTTCTATGACATGGGGGAAAATTCTGACATTGCAGGTTATGATCATGAGGGGTGATACCTACAAAGCTCATAGGAGGTCACTGGTTAATTGCAAAGATGCAGAGCAACACAGTCTGCATTTTCACATCTCCTGTATCTCTCATGCATCACTGACAAACACTGAACATATTCAGATATTGTCTGAACAGGAGCTCAGACAATATCAGCAGATTGTTGTGTTCATTCCACACTTACCCATAAGCATCGGGCAAAGGGTGAGAACCAGGCAGAGCCTCTTCTTTCATTGTATTAGTTAATATTTTGTGCATATGATATATTCATTTTCTTATCTATTTATACCCGCCACTTTCCAAAAAGTTGATGAAACATAAATATCCTCTTGTCTAAATAGGCTTTTCCCAAAAAGCCTCCTCAAAATAGTCATGGACACAGAAAAAATGCTAGAAGGTCTGTTTTACACCCAATGGATTGATAGGTAATAATTCAATTGGACAAATATTAGTTCCCATGTACTAAGTGGGCACTGAATGGCAGGCACTGACTACATTTCACATGGTTCCCCTTGAATCCTCACCACAACCCTGAGTCAGGATGCACTATTATCCTCCTTTTCCAGTGAGAAAACTGAGGGTGAGAGTTGGCCCTATGGCTTCCAGAGGCCGAGATGGAATTTGAGCCCACCGTCTGCCTGACTGCTGAGTCCATCCTCTTAACTCCTATACTATACTCTCTTCAGCCCACAACTGAACTTCCAGAAGGAGCTGTTTTGAAGCATTCAGGATTTTGCCTCATCAAGCACGATACAAAACTAAGTAAAGAGGAGAAGCTTCAGAGAAAACAGCTTCAGCATAAGCTTCATAAGGAAGAGATGAAATGAAATGCCATAAACGCTAATACACTGAAATCAGGAGCGTCACTGGAAGTTATGTGGTGCCAATCAAATCACATTATCCCTAAATATATAGCAAATGGCTTAACAGCTTTTGGGCCCATCTCCTGCCAAAGTATTTCAACATTAATAAAACCAGGTGTGACTGTACAGTCTTTTAGTCATTTAACCAATATGCATGGGCCACTACTGTGTGCCATGCACTGTGCTTGGGGTGTGATCCTTTTGAATCTGTTGCAAGAGGATTTACTCCATAGATATAACTGTGAGATGTGCCATATGTTTCAGGAGAACCGTTGAAATTGCTGTAGGCATTGCTCTGTTCTTCTGGATGGACCTGGTAATTAGATACTAGGAATGAGGTTAAAGAGGAGCTTGAGTTTTTATTAAAAACTCTCTCAGTACTCCATCAACATTATTATCATTTGATAAATTCTTATCACTTTTCTAATGTAAAAATTAAATGTTGTTTAAGCTTACATGTTTTTTTTTTTTTTTTTTTTTTTTTTTTTTTTGAGACGGAGTCTCGCTCTGTCGCCCAGGCTGGAGTGCAGTGGCGCAATCTCGGCTCACTGCAAGCTCCACCTCCCGGGTTCACGCCATTCTCCTGCCTCAGCCTCCCAAGTAGCTGGGACTACAGGCGCCCGCCACTACGCCCGGCTAATTTTTTGTATTTTTAGTAGAGACGGGGTTTCACCGTTTTAGCCGGGATGGTCTCGATCTCCTGACCTCGTGATCCGCCCGCCTCGGCCTCCCAAAGTGCTGGGATTACAGGCGTGAGCCACCGCGCCCGGCCAGCTTACATGTTTTTAAAAAAATCAAGTCCATGGAACAATTCAAGCGTATTATGAGAATGAGACCAAACACAGTGCACATGTGCACATTCCTTTTTTTTTTTTTTTTATATACGGAGTCTCACTCTCTTGCCCAGGCTGGAGTGCAGTAGCGCCGTCTCAGCTCACTGCAACCTCTGCCTCCTGGGCTCAAGCAATTCTCCTGCCTCAGCCTCCCAGGTAGCTAGGATTATAGGCACCCACCACCACATCCGGCTAATTTTTTTTTTTTTTTAATTAGAGACAGCGTTTCACCATGTTGGCCAGGCTGGTCTCAAACTCCTGACCTCAGGTGTTCTACCCGCCTTGGCCTCCCAAAGTGCTGGGATTACGGGCATGAGCTACTGTGCCCAGCCACAGTTCACATTCTTACACCCTTACCGTGGTAGTTAGAATAATGGCCCCCAAAGATATCGACATCCTAATCCCTGGAACATGTGAACATGTTACCTTACATGGCAAAAGGGACTTTGCAGATGTGATTAAGAATCTTAAGATGGGAGATGATCCTGGATTATCCAGGTAGGCCCAATGTAATCACAAGTGTCCTTATTAAGAAAGAGGCAGGCAGGTGAAAGAGAGAGGGAGATGTGATGACAGAAACAGACGTTGAAGTGATGCAAAGCCATAAGCTAAGGAATGCAGGCAGCTTCTAGAAACCAGAAAAAGTAAGGAAATACAATCTCCTCTCTAAAGCCTCCAGAAGGAGTGCAGCCTCACCACACCTTGATTCTAGCTTACTAAGACTGGTTTTGGACCTCCAGAACTGTGAGATAATGTTTATATTTTTTAAGCCATTAAATTTGTGATAATTTATTACAGCAGCAGTAAGAAATGTACAGACAGACCTAATGGTCAGATGTCAAATTTCCTTTGAATGTAATCATTTAAAAAATGAGGGGGTCAGGGGACAGGGGCGTCTTTTCTTACTTGTCTTTTTACAAGCTCAAGAAAGCTAAACTGACCTAGTGCCATGGCTCACGCCTGCAATTCCAACACTTTGGGAAACCAAAGCAGGAGGATCACTTGAGTCCAAGAGTTTGAGACAAGACTGGGCAACATACAGAGACCCTGTCTCTACACAAAAATTAAAAATTAGCTGGCTGTGGAGGCTCATGCCTATAGACCTAGCTACTCAGTAGGCTGAGGTGAGAGAATTGCTTGAGCCCAGGAAGTCGAGGCTGCAGTGACCTGTGACTGTACCACTGCACTCCAGCCTGGGCAATGGAGTGAGACCCTGTCTCAAAAAGAAAAAAACAGAAAAAAGAAAGCTAAACATGGTTTGGCTCTTGTGAAAGTATTAAAAAAAAAAAAAAAAAGCAATGACAGAATGGTACAATATGCAATTTGACTGTTCTAAGAGGTCAGGGCAACTTCTAGAAAATGTGAATAATACTAAGGAATGAGGTTAAAGAGGAACTTGAGCTTTCATTAAAAACTCTATCACTATTCCATCAGTGATTATCATTTCATTAATTCTTACCACTTTTCTAATAGGAAAATTAAACGTCATTTAAGCCTAAAGATTTTACAAAGAACTGTTGTAAGTATAACCCACAAAAAATCTACACACAACCCTACCATGTGGTCCAGTTTGGACACAAAGTCACATTCAAAGAAACAGCAAGCCAATAGAAAAGCAAAGTTGAGAACAACTCAAATCTTGATGTAAACGTTGAAGAAAATTGTAAGGGGGAATATTCACTCTTAATAGATAACTTCTTGAAATTTATTTTGGGACTTCCGTCTTTCTGAATTGTTGCAGTAGCTCTCCCCAAAATTCCCCATTTTTTCCTTCCCAAAAATGGTCCTAAACATCCAGCTCTATCACCTCTCTAGTCTCACTCCCTGTCCCCTCCAAGCCTCAACCCTTTAACATATAGATACATGATTCCCAAGCAAGGGGCCAAGGATGCCGCTAAACATCCAACAATACGCAGGCCAGCCCCAAGCCAATATACTGTTTGTACATAATGTCAGAGTATTGAAATGTGGATCAACTGAAGTTCTCCATCTCTTGATTTTGTTTACAACAAAGGTAGTTCACTGGGTAAGGAGTCAACAAGACTCCACCCTTAAAAATGAGAGGAGGGGGCTGGGTGCAGTGGCTCACGCCTGTAATCCCAGCACTTTGGGAGGCCAAGGCAGGCAGATCACGAGGTCCGGAGATCGAGACCATCCTGGCTGACATGGTGAAACCCCATCTCTACTAAAATTACAAAAAATTCACTGGAAGTGGTGGTGGGCACCTGTAGTCCCACCTACTCAGGAGGCTGAGGCAGGAAAATGGTATGAATCCGGGAGGCCCGCCTTGTGGTAGTTAGAACCAGGAGGCCCGCCTTGTGGTAGTAGCTGAGATCTCGCCACTGCACTCCAGCCTGGGAGACAGAGCGAGACTCCGTCTCAAAAAATAAAAATAAAAAAGAGAGGAGGGAAAACACTTGCAATCTCTTATGATTTGACAAATTTTCTTCTATTCCTGTGCCATCAGAATTAAATACAATAACACACACAAAGTGCCCAGCATGGTTGCTCAAACCATGGGTGCTAAAGGGCGCTCAAAAAATACTAGCTCTCATTCTTTTTTCTAGAAGGGAATGAAGAATCAATTTAATCTTAATACGGTGTCCCTAAAATAATTGCATCTCTCCCTACTATCACCTCCCATCCCACAGCTGCCTCAAAAACTTTTGAATATTTAAATTATAAAAACTCTTCACCTGCTGTAAGGGAGTAGTACATTCCCCAGGAGAATTAGATTCTGGAAATAAGAACATCAGAGAAACAGCAAAGAGGATTATCGAAACCCAGCATTTGACTGCTGAATAGCAAAGGCCTCAATTAATATGTTTTGATACTCAAAACAAACAAACCTTTTGTCAAGTAGCATTCACAATGAGTAAGCAAGGAAATGACTTCTACCTGTTTTCAAAAATGCCTCATTTTTACTGTGATGATTGTGAAGCCCTTTGCATTATGGTTGGATACATAAAATTTCAATTTCTCAGCACATGTCTTTTAAATTGTAGTATAATATAAATAACAACATTTACCATTTTGGCCATTTTTAGGTGTACAATTTGGTGGCATTAAATACATTCACATTGTTGTACCACTGCCACCATCGTCAATCTCCAGAACGTTTTTCATCTTGCAAATCTGAAACTCTGTACCCATCAACCACAATAATTCCACATTTCTCCCTTTCCCCAGTCCCTGGTAATCACCATTCTACTTTCTGTTTCTATGAATTTGACTACTCCACGTGTCTAAAATAAAGGGAATTATAAACCATTTGTCCTTTTGTGACTGGCAGATTTCACTTATCATGATGTCTTCAGGGTTCACTCATTTTGTAGCATGCGTCAGGATTTATTTCCTTTTTAACACTGAATAACATTCTATTGTATGGATATAGCACATTTTGTTTTTCCCTTGCCAGTGGACATTTGGGTTGCTTCTACCTTTTGGCTATTGTGAATAATGCTGCTATGAACATGGGTAGAGCATGTATCATTTCCAAATGCTCAAGTCACGATGTCAAAATATTAACTCGTCCATATTTACTTTAGTTTTGTACGTGCATAACATGGAATTCAAATTTTACTTTTACTGGCCTGTGAAAATATACAAGTTAAGATTTCTGAAACAAAATTAAGCAACAACAAATTACATTATTATTATGATTATTACTGTAAGGGTTAACAGCATGGTGCTCTTTAGTCAGCCTAGCAATGTACAACTCTAGGCAAGAAACTTCATCTTCCAGTCATAGGTTTTATTATTTATGAGTAAGTACGATGCACCGGATGTGGCAGTAGGCACTTCGTAAGTATTAACTCATGAAATGCTCATAGCAACTCTATGAGAGACATACCATTTTCACCCCCATTGTCCTTAGCCTAGCAGCTGAGGGTAGGTAGTTGAGCCAGATTGCCTAGCTCTTCCACTTACTAGCTATGGGAAATTAGTCAAGTTAATTAACTGTATTAATTTCCTCAAGTGTAAAATAGAAATGATAGTATCAATTTCTGAGTGCTGTTACAAGCATTAAGTGAGATGATGTATGTGAACTCTTGAGACCCTACATGTAGTTAGTATTCATAAATATTGCATATTAATGTTTGCATCTACTTTTCACTCAGTACATTCCTGATGCATTTCTTCCCCACCCTAATGGTCATATCTGAAGAGTAAGCTCAGAATTTGAAAACTGATGTTAATATCAGCTTAAACCAAACAAAATGTATTAAGTCAACTTAACTTTCTGAATTACATGAAAATAGTATAATGGCTACATAAAAATCACATTCCAAGTTCGAGTAAAATGATTTAATGTTACCATCCAGTTCTTTTTCCTAGTATGGATAATGACTGAACTGAAATTTCAGGGACTTCAATTTGAGATCAAGGTCTTCATCAACCTTACAAGTTGGCTTGGACAAGTCACATTACTACTCTGAGGCTCATTTTTCTCCTGAACAGAGCAAGGGCATAGGACTCATATCTTTACATATGGATTGGAGTCTCCTGAGTGAGTAAGCTACTATTTGAGAAAGAGTATCTACTCCAGCAAACGAGCAATCCCTAGAAGGCTTCTGTCCAGGGTTAAGTCTTTTTTTTTTTTTTTTAATCCTCCCACTCCCCAGACAGAGTCCCACTCTGTCACCCAGGCTGGAGTATGGTGGCAGGATCTTGGCTCACTGCAACCTCTGCCTGCCAGGTTCAAGTGATTCTCATGCCTCGGCCTCTGAGTAGCTGAGATTACAGGCATGTGCCACCACACCCGGCTAATTTTTCTATTTTTAGTAGAGATGGGGTTTCACCAAGTTGGCCAGGCTGGCCTTGCACTCCTGACCCTAAAGTGATCTGCCTGCCTTGGCCTCCCAAATTGTTGGGATTACAGGCATGAGCCACTGCACCTGGCTCAGAGTTAGCTCTTGATCAAACCTATCAACTGCTTTCTATATCTTCACTGTTAGGAAGGAAGGAGCTGGAATATTGAAGTTTAGCTGACCAGAAGACCATGCACATAGCCTATGACTTTGCAATTTCTAGGTTTTTGCATGTGCTGTTTTATCCATGTGGCATATCTTCCCTTCCTGATGGAAATGTTATCCATACTTCAAGGCTCAGCTCAAATACCATGTTCTGCCGTGAAATCTCCTAGGGTCTGGCCAATTGGAAGGTTTTTCCCTCTTCAATTCCAACAACATTGCTTTATGCTTCTTCATTGTTCTTTATTATACACTTCTTTGCCTGATTTGCATACCTATGTCTAGAAACCTTATCTCTTTCATGTTTGGAATCCTCAGAGTGTTAATGTGGCATGTTCTAGATGCCCAACAAACACTGATTGGTTGGATGTAGACTCCAGCATCCACCTGTAGATGACACCTGTGAGATTAAGTCTGATAATTCAATGCATATGCCTTGTTTGTGTCACCCACACCAACCCTCAGAGAAGACAGTGTTGAATATATTTATCTAAGCAGATTATTTGTTTTGCCTCACCTTGACACTATCTAAATCTTCTTGGTCAGAAAATGTGAGAATGAGAAACCCAGAAAACGGAATTGGAGCACTTTAATTTTTTCTGTATGGAAAAACTTCTTTGTATACTTGATTTGATGCTGTCCTTAATGACCTAATGGAAGGGAAAACCAGCTTCAGCTGGAATGACTTCAGTAGTTTGCTGTGAAGTTTCCAGGAGATAAACAGTCAAAAAACAGATGATTTCAAAAGCCACGATGGATAATCTCAACGGCCACTAAACTGGACCAAATCTCATCACAAATAAACAACTTTGGGTAGGAATAATGGTTGGAAATAAACAAACATGGACCAATACCAATGTGAAACTTCTGTTAAGATAAAGTGGATGGTCTTTTGGAATTATCAGAGCTATTTTTTAAAGTTCACAACGCTATGGATTAAGAATAAAGTATTAAAGAATTGGCAAGATGTAAAATCCATGGGCTGGTGTTGTCCACAACTAAGGAGTTTACCTTAAATGTTGAAAGGGGAAAGCCCTCAGCTCACCTTGGAGAACTGAGTGATGCATGATGTTAAAGGTAGAGAAGCCACATGCAATCAAAGACTAGAATCATCAGAGTCAATATAAACAAAGATGTTAATAGGCAAGCAATAATTGCCATGAATAATTAAATCCAGGATTGGCTGAAGCCAGACTGTAAGTAATTCCTTGATGTAAAACCAAACTCACTGAATAACCTCAAGGGATGTTCCCCACGTGTTAAATGGAAACCACAGTCCCAAGATTCTGGATCTTGCTCTTGGAAAAAGAAAAAGATGGCTGTATTTCTGATGTTGTTGCCAGAGAGTCCTGCCCACTTGCTCAGTGATTGAGATGCCCAGTCTTTCCTTTTCTCTCAAATAAAAATCATATGAATACAAAATTGTATTTACTTTTAAACTAATGCAACACATTTTACTGAAAACATTTGTGATTGTGTTAAGGGACACAGAGATGGTTTTAAGACAGGTCTCTTACTTTAGTAATAATTACAGTAAAGCATGATGAATACAATAATAGAAAGAGAATAGATGTGCTCCAATCCAATGTACACTGAGGCCTCTAACTTCATTCTTCTTTGTTTTGGCAATTCCAGTTTATTTGCATCTACATGTAATTTTAAAATCTGTTTTGTCAACACATTTCAAAAGAAGAAATACATGCAGCCAACAAGCATATGAAAAAAAAGCTCAACATCACTGATCATCAGAGAAATGCAAATCAAAACCACAATGAGATATCATCTAACACCAGTCAAAATGGCTACTATTAAAAAGTCAAAAAATAACAGATGCTGGCAAGGTTGTGGAGAAAAAGAAACGCTTATACACTGTTGGTGGGAATGTAAATTACTTCAGCCGTTGTGGAAGACAGTGTCGTGATTCCTCCAACACCTAAAGACAGAAATGCCATTCAACCCAGCAATCCCATTTCTGGGTATATACCCAAAGGAATATAAATCATTTTAGTATAAAGACACATGCACATGTGTGTTTATTGCAGCACTATTCACAATAGCAAAGACATGTAATCAACCTAAGTGCCCATCAACGATAGACTAGATAAAGAAAATGTGATACATATGCACCATAGAATACTATGCAGCCATAAAGAAGAATGAGATCATCTCTTTTGCAGGGACATGGATGCAGCTAGAGGCCACTATCCTTAGCAAACTAACACTGGAACAGAAAAACAAACACTGCATGTTCTCACTTATAAGTGGGAACTAAATGATGAGAACACATGGACACGGAAAGACAAACAACACACACTGGGGCCTTTCAGAGAGCGGAGGGTGGGAGGAAGGAGAGGATCAGGAAAAATAACTAATGGATACTAGGCTTAATTCTCGGGTGATGAAATAATCTGTACGACAAACCCCCATGACACAAGTTTACCTATGTAACAAACCAGCACACGTACTCTTGAACTTAAAAGTTAAAAGAAATTATTTTGTCAATAAAAACTCAATTTTTTAAATTTAATTTAATTTTTTTTTTTTTTTTTTGAGACGGAGTCTCGTTCTGTCTTCCAGGCTGGAGTGCAGTGGTGCGATCTCGGCTCACTGCAACCTCTGCCTCCTGGATTCAAGACATTGATGTGCAGTTGTCTTTTTTTGTATTATCTTTATCTAGTTTGGTATCAGGGTAATATTAACCTCAGAAAATAAGTTGAGAAGTATTTCCTCTTCTGTTTTCTGGGATACATTATATAAAATTGAGGTTAATTTTTCTTCAAGTGTTTCACAGAATTCTCCAATGATGCCATCTTGGCCTGAAGATTTATTTTACGAGATTTTCAGTTATGAACTCAATTTCTTTAATACCTACAGGGTTATTCAGATTGTCTGTTTCATATTGGTTGAATTTTGGTAGTTTGCGGCTTTTGAGGATTTGGTTCATTTCCTCTGAGTTGTTGAATGCATGATGATAAAATTGTTAATAGTATTCTCTTACTATGTTTTTAATGGCTACAAGATCTACAGTGATAGCTTTTCCATTTCTGACATTGGAGATTTCTTTCTCAACTGTTTTTATTTTGGTAAGTTTTACCAGAGGTTTGTCCATTTTGTTGATTTTTTTCTTAAGGATTAGGTTTTCTTTTCACTGATTTTTCTCTATTATTTTCTATTTCATTGATGTCTGCTCTTTTCTTTGTTATTTTATTTCTTCTGCTTGCTTTGAGTTTATTTTGCTCCTCTTTTTCTAATTTCTTGAAGTAGGAATGTAGTTTATTAATTTTTTCTTTCCTTTCTTTTTTTTTTGAGATGGAGTATCGCTCTGTTGCCCAGGTTAGAGTGCAGTGGCACGATCTCAGCTCACTGCAATCTGTACCTTTCAGGTTAAAGCGATTCTCCTGCCTCAGCCTCCCGAGTAGCTGAGATTACAGGCACCCACCACCACCCCCAGCTAATTTTTGTATTTTTAGTAAAGGTGGGGTTTCACCATGTTGGCCAGGCTGCTCTCCAACCCCGAACCTCAAGCGATCTGCCCGCCTCGGTCTCCCACAGTGCTGGGATTACAAGGCATAAGCAACCATACCTGGCCTGTAGTTCATTGATTTTAAACGCACCCATCTGAACTGAGTTTCTTATATGTGGCGTACAATTGGGTCACATTTTCTTATACACTCTACCAGTCTGTCTTTTTATTAGTGTATTTAGATCACTTACATTTAAGATAATTTTTGTCACATAAATCTGCCATTTTATTGGGTTTTTAAAATTTGTTTCCTCTAGATTTCACTTCACTTTTTCTCTGTTTTGATCTTTCCTCATTTATAATATAAGCATTACTGCTATAAATTTCCCTCTCAGTCCTGCTTTAAGCTGCATTCCACAAATTTTGATAAGTTGTGATTTCATTTTCATTGAGTTTAAAGTATTTTTAAATTTCCTTTGAGACTTTCTTTTTGATTGATGGATTATTTAGAAGTATGTTAATTTCCACATTTTAGAGATTTTCCTATTGTTTTTCTATAATTGATTTCTAGTTTGATTCCGTTAAGATCACAGAATACACTTTGTATAATTTCAGTTATTTTACATTTGTTGAGGTTTGCTTTATAGCCAGGATATGGCCTATCTTGACCAATGTCCCATGGATGGTTGTTTTCTATGTATGTCAGTTAGGCCTTGTTGGTGATTGTGTTGTTTAAATAGCATGTATAGTATGTGCGAGGAGGGGACATAATCGTGGATTTGTCTATTTCTCCTTTCAGCTCCATCAATTTTTATTTCATGTGATTTGAGGCTCTGTTGTTTGATTCATACACATTTAGGACCATTATGTCTTCCTGATGAATTCATTCTGTTTTCATGCTGTAATGTCTCTCTTTGTCTCTAGTAATTTTCTTTTTCTGAAACCTACTTTATCAGATATTAATATAGACACTTCTACTATTACCGATTGTTTGCATGGTATAGCTTTTCCCATCCTTTTACTTTCAATCTACCTATGTTGTTGATTTCAACTGAGTTTTTTTTTTTATTTAATTAACTTTTTTTGAGGCTGGGTCTTGCTGTGTTGCCCAGGCTGATCTTGACCTCCTGGGTTCAAGCAGTCTGCCAACCTTGGCCTCCCAAAGTGCTGAGATTACAAGCCCAAGCCACCATACCTAGACTAAACTGAGTTTCTTAAATGCAGCATACAGTTGGGTCACATTTTCTTATACACTCTACCAATCTGTCTTTTTATTAGTGTATTTAGACCATTTACATTTAAGGTAATTGTTATGTTCTCACATATATCTGTCATTTTATGTTTTAATTATTTAATGTTAAGTTCACAGATACATGTGCAGGTTTGTTATATAGGTAAACGTATGTCATGGGGCAGTATTGTGCAGATTATTTCATCACCCAGGAATTAAGCCTAGTATCCATTGGTTACTTTTCCTGATCCTTTCTGTCCTCCCACCCTCCATCCTCTAAAGACCCCAATGTGTGTTGTTCCCCTCTATGTGTCCATGTGTTCTCATCTTACAAGTGAGAATATGCAGTATTTGGTTTTCTGTTCCTGTGTTAGTTTGCTAAGGATAGTGGCCTCCAGCTGCATCCGTGTCCCTGCAAAAGACATGATCTCATTCTTTTTTAAGACTACATAGTATTCCATGGTATACATACCACATTTTCTTTATTCAGTCTATTATTGATGGGCACTTAGGTTGATTCCATATCTGTGCTATTGTAAATACTGCTGCAGTGAACATATACATGCATGTGTCTTTATAACAAAATGATTTCGTTCCTTTGGGTATATACCCAGTAATGGAATTGCTGCGTTGAATGGCATTTCTGTCTTTAGGTCTTGGGGGAATCACCACACTGTCTTCCACAATGGCTGAAGTAATTTACATTCCCACCAACAGTGTATAAGCGTTTCTTTTTCTCCACAACCTTGCCAGCATCTGTTATTTTTTTGGCTTTTTAATAGTACCCATTCTGACCGGTGTTAGATAATATCTCACTGTGGTTTTGATTTGCATTTCTCTAATGATCAGTGATGTTAAGCTTTTTTTCACATGCTTGTTAGCCGCATATATGTCTTCTTTTGGGAAGTGTCTCTTCACGTTCTTTGCCACTTTTTAATGCGGTCATTTGTTTCTTGTAAATTTGTTTAAGTTCCTTATAGATGCTGGAGATTAGACCTTTGTCAGATGCATAGATTGCAAAAATTTTCTCCCATTCTGTAGATTGTCTGTTTACTCTGTTGGTAGTTTATTTTGCTGTGCGGAAGCTCTTTAGTTTAATTAGATCCCATTTGTCAATTTTTGCTTTTGTCGCAATTGCTTTTGGCATCTTCATCATGAAACCTTTGCCTATGCCTGTGTCCTGAATGGTATTGCCTAGGTTGTCTCCAGGTTTTTATAGTTCAGAGTCTTATATTTATATCTTTAATCCATCTCAAAGAGATTTTTATATATGGTGTAAGGAAGGAGTCCAGTTTCAATCCCCTGCACCTGGCTAGTCAGTTATCCCAGTACCATTTATTGAAAAGGGAATCCTTTCCCCATTGCTTGTTTTTCTCAGGATCGTTGAAGATCAGATAGTTGTAGATGTACAATCTTATTTCTGGGTTCTCTATTCTGTTCCATTGGTCTATGTGTCTGTTCTTGTACCAGTACCATGTTGTTTTGGTTACTGTAGCCTTGTAGTATAGTTTGAAGTCAGGTAGTATAATACCTCCAGCTTTGTTCTTTTTGCTTAAGATTTTCTTGGCTATTCAGGCTCTTTTTTGGTTCCATATGAATTTTAAAATAGTTTATTTCTAGTTCTGTGAAGAATGTCAAGGGTAGTTTAATGGAAATACAATTAATGGGACCTATAAATTGCTTTGGGCGATATGGCCATTTTAACAATATTGAGTTTTCCTATCCATGAACATGGAATGTTTTTCCATTTGTTGCTATCATCTCTGATTTCTTTGAGCAGTGATTTGTAGTTCTCCTTGTAGAAATCTTTCACCTCCCTGGTTGGGTGTCCTTCTAGTTATTTTATTTGTTTTGTGGCAATTGTGAACGGGAGTTCATTCATGATTTGGCTCTCAGCTTGATTGTTGTTGGTGGGTAGGAATGCCAGCAATTTTTGCACATTTATTTTGTATCCTAAGACTTTGCTGAAGTTGCTCATCAGCTTAAGAGGCTTTCGGGTTGAGACAATGGGTTTTCTAGGTATAGGATCATGTCATCTTCAAACATAATTTGACTTCCTCTCTTCTATTTGAATACCCTTTCTTTCTTTCTCTTGTCTGATTGCCCTGGCCAGAACTTCCAACACTATGTTGAATAGGAGTGGTGAAAGAGGGCATCCTTATCTTGTGCTGGTTTTCAAGGGGGAATGCTTCCAGGTTTTACCCATTCAGTATGATGTTGGCTGTGAGTTTGTCACAGATGGATGTTATTATTTTGAGGTATGGTCCTTCAGTACCTAGCTGATTGAGAGTTTTTAACATGAAGCGATGTTGAATTTTATTGAAATAATTTTCTCCATCTATTGAGATAATAATATGGTTTTTGTCTTTAGTTCTGTTTATGTGATGAATCAAATTTATTGATTTGCATATGTTGAACCAACTTTTCATCCCAGAGATGAAGCTGGTAGATAAGCTTTTTGTTGTGCTGTCGGATTTGGTTTGCCAGTATTTTGTTGAGGATTTTTGCATTGATGTTCATCAAGGATATTGGCCTGAAGTTTCCTTTTCTTTTTTTTTTTTTTTTTTTTTTTTGTTATTGTAGCTCTGCCAGTTTTTGGTATCAGGATAATGCTGGCATCATAGAATGAGTTACGGACAAGTCTCTCCTTTTCAATTTTTTGGAATAGTTTCAGTAGGAATGGTACCAGCTTTTTTTTGTACATCTGGTAGAGTTCAGCTGTAAATCCACCTAGTCCTGGGCTTTTTTGGTTGGTAGGCTATTTATTACTGTCTCAATGTCAGAACTCATTATTGGTCTGTTCAGGGATTTAATTTCTTCCTGGTTCATTCTTGGGCAGGGGTATGTATCCACAATTTATCAATTTCCCTAGATTTTCTAGTTCATGTGCATAGAGGTGTTTATAATATTCTCTGATGGTTGTTTATATTTCTATGGCATCAGTAATCCCCCCTTATCATTTCTGATTGTGTTTATTTGAATCTTCTCCCTTTTCTTCTTTATTAGACTAGCTAGTGGTCTATTTTATTAATTTTTTCAAAAAATGAGCTCCTGGATTCATTGATCTTTTGAATGGCTTTTTTTTTATGTCTCAATCCACTTTAGTTCAGCTCTGATTTTGCTTATTTCTTGTCTTCTGCTAGTTTTGGGATTTCTTTGCTCTTGTTTCTCTAGTTCTTTTAGTTGTCATGTTAGATTATTAACTTGAGATCTTTCTAACATTTTGATGTGGACATTTAGTGCTATAAATTTTCCTCTTAACACTGCCTTAGCTGTGTCCCAGAGATTCTGGTATGTTGTATCTTTGTTCTCATTAATTTCAAAGAGCTTTTCAGTTTCTGCCTTAATTTTGTTATTTGTCCAAAAGTCATTCAGGAGCAGGTTATGCAATTTCCATGTAATCGTGTGGCTTTGGATGAATTTCTTAGTCTTGATTTCTAATTTGATTGCACAGTGGTCAAACAGAAACTAGGATTGCAACCTCTGCTTTTTTCTGTTTTCCATTTGCTTGGTAAATTTTCCTCCATCCCTTTATTTTGAGCCTATGTGTGTCATTACATGTGAGATGGGCCTCATGAAGACAGCATACCAATGGGTCTTGGTTCTTTTGTGTGTGTGTGTGTGTGTGTGTGTGTGTGTGTTGGAGTCTTGCTCTGTCCCCCGGCTGGATTGCAGTGGCGCAATCTCAGTTCACTGCAACCTCCACCTCCCAGCTTTAAGCAATTATCTTGCCTCAGCCTCCCGAGTAGGTGGGACTACAGGCATATGCCACCATGGCCAGCTAATTTTTTGTATTTTTACTAGAGACAGGATTTCACCTGGTTGGCCAGGCTGGTCTCAAACTCCTGACCTCAGGGGATCAGCACGTCTCGGCCTCTCAAAGTGCTGGGATTATAGGCGTGAGCCACTGTGCCCAGCCAGGTCCTGGTTCTTTATCCAGCTTGCCATTCTGTGTCTTTTAATTGGGGCATTTGGCCCATTTACATTTAAGGTTAGTATTGATATTCGTGGATTTGATCCTGCCATCATGATGTTAGCTGGTTATTTTGCAGACTTGTTTATGTGGTTGCTTTATAGTGTCACTGCTCTGTGTACTTCAATCTGTTTTTGTAGTGGCTGGTAACAATCTTTCCTTTCCATAATTAGTGCTGCCTTCAGAAGTCTTGTAAGGCAGGTCTGCTGGTAATGAATTTTCTCAACATTTGCTTGTCTGAAAAGGATCTCATTTCTCCTTTGTCTATGAAGCTTAGTTTGACCAGATATGAAATTCTGGGTTGGAATTTCTTTCCTTTAAGAATGCTGAATACTGGCCCTCAATCTCTTCTGGCTCATAGGGATTCCACTGAGACGTCCACTGTTAGTCTGTTGGGCTTCCCTTTGTAGGTGACCAGGCCTTTTTCTCTTGCTGCCCTTAACATTTTTCTTTTATTTCAACCTTGGAGAATCTGATGATTATGTGTCTCAGGGTTGATCTTCTCACTGAGTACCTTGCTGGCGTTTTCTGCCTTTCCTGAACTTGAATGTTTGCCTTTCTAGTGAGGTTGGGGAAGTTTTCATGAATGGTATCCTGAAATACATTTGCCAAATTAGTTCCATTCTCCCCATCTCTTTCAGGTATACCAATTAGTCATGGATTTGGTCTCTTCACATAATCCCATATTTCTTGGAGGTTTTATTCATTTCTTTTCATTCTTTTACCTCTATTCTTGTCTGCCTGTCTTATTTCAGAAAAACTACCTTTTTTTTTTTTTTTTTTCTGAGACTGAGCCCCAGTCTGTCGCCCAGGCTGGAGTACAGTGGCACAATCTTGGCTCACTGAAACCTCTGTCTCCCGGGTTCAAGAGATTCTCCTGCTTCAGCCTCCCAAGTAGCTGGGATTACAGGCACCCACCAACATGTTTGGCTAGTTTTTGTATTTTTTGTAGAGACGAGGTTTCACCATGTTGGCCAGGCTGGTCTCAAACTCCTGACCTCAAGTGATCTGCCCGCCTTGGCCTCCCAAAATGCTGGGATTACAGGCATGAGCCACCACACCGAGCCAAGAAAACCTGTCTTTAAACTCTGAGATTCTTTCCTCTGCTTGGTTTATTCTTGTATTAATACTTGAGATTGCATTATGAAATTCTTGTATTGTGTTTTTCAGCTCTATTGGGTTCATTATGTTCCTCTCTATATTGGCTATTTTGTCTGGTAGCTCCTGCAATGTTTTATCGTGATTTTTAGCTTCCTTGCATTGGTTACAACATATTTTTCTAGCTCAGTGAAGTTCATTTTTATCCATATTCTGAATTCTATTTCTGTCATTTCAGCCATCTCAGCCTCAGCCCAGTTCCGATCCCTTGCTAGAGAGGTGATACAGTCATTTGGAGGAAAGAGAGCACTCTGGCTTTTTTAGTTTTCAGCATTCTTACTCTGATTCTTTCTCATCTTTGTGGACTTACCTACCTTCAATCTTTGATGTTGCTGACCTTTGAATGGGTGTTTTTTTTTTTTCTTTTAATAGTCTGGCCGCTTTTCTGTAGGGCTGCTGCAGTTTGCTGGGGTTCGGTTCCAGTCCTTAATCACCTCAGATTTTCCAGTATCTAGACGTATCACCAGTGAAGACCGCAATGCAGCAAAGATGACAACTTGCCCCCTTCCTCTGTGAGCTCTGTCCCAGGGAGGTATGGACCTGTTGCCAGCACAAACCCATCTGTAGGAGGTGGTGAAGGACCCCAGTCGGGAGATCTCAACCAGTCAGGAGGAATGAGACAGGAGACCGGCTTAAAGAAGCCGTCTGGCCATGCTTTTGTAGAGTGGCTGTGCTGTGCGGGGGTACTGCCTCTGCCTCTGGTTAGCTTAGGCTCTCCAAAAAAAGCATGGAAGCTGGAACAGCTAAGTCACCCAGCAGCAAAATGGCAGCCCACCCCTCCCACCAAGAATTCTGTCCCGGGGAGAATGCAAATCTCTGTCTGCTGGAGAACACCGGCAGGGGTAGCCAGAGGGCCTGGTTGGGAAGCCCTGCCCAGTGAGGAGGAATGGATCAGGAACCAGCTTAAAGAAGCAGTCTGGCTATGTTTTGGTAGAGCAGCTGTGCTGTGCTGGGGCATCCTGTATGCCCCCAGTCAGTTTAGACTCTCCAAAGCCCTCAGGCTAGAACAGCTGAGTCGTCCAAACAGCAAAGATGGCAGCTCACCCTTCCCCATGGGAACTCCATTCCAGGTAGGGACAACACTGTTGCTGGTGGTTGGCTGGAATTCCAAGCCATTGGGTCTTATCCTGTGAGGCACCATGGAAGTGGGGCCCTCATTCCGTTGCTGCTCGGCCCCCTGGATTCAGCCCCCTTCCTACGAGTATGTACAGAGGTCCAACCTCCCACCTTGCTGGAGTTGCAGTCACTTTTGCTGGGAAGCCTGGAGCCAGAGTATGTAAAGCTCCTGGGCCTCCACATGTGCCTGAGCAGCTGCTCTGCTGAGGCTCCATGCAGCTATGTGTGTCAGACTGAAGGCCCTAGTGGAATGGGTTCACGAGGGGATCTCCTGATGAGGGTTGCAAAGATCCATGGGAGAAGCATGATTTCCGAGGGCCGCACATTCACTCACCGCTTCCCTGGTTTGGGGAGGTTCCCCTGGCTCCGTGTTGCTGCTCCTGGGTGAGCCATTGTCCTGTCTTGCTTTTCTTCATTCTCCTGGGTTGAGTTGTTTCCTTGATTAGTCCCAGTGAGAGTACCTGGATGTTTCAGTTGAAGGTGCTGTATTTGCTAACCCCTTTTGTTCCTCTTCGTGAGAGCCACACACTGTAACTGCTTCTAGTTGGCCATCTTGGCCTGAGTTGTTTTTTTTTCCTCTAGATCTCACTTTACTGTTTCTGTTTTGACTTCCTGTGCATTACTTGAACATTTTTTAGAATTCCATCCTGACTTATTTATAGCGTTTTTCAAAAATATAGTTGACAACTATATTAAACACAGGTTTGAACCGTGTGGGTCTACTTATATGCAGATGCTATGGTTGTGATGTTTGTCTATTCTAAACCTCATGTTGAAATTTGATTTCCAATGTTGGAGGTGGGACTAATGGGAGCTGTTGGGTAGTGGGGACAGGTCCCTCATGAATAAATTAATGCCCTCCCTTAGGAGTAATGAGTTCTCACTCTGTTAGTTCCTCTGAGAGCTGGTTGTTTAAAAGAGCGTGGCACCTCTCCACTCTTTCTTGCTTCCTACCTCACTATGTGATCTCTGTACAGCCAATTCCCTTTCACTTTCTGTCATGAGTGGAAGTAGCCTGAAGCCCTCACCAGATGCAGATGAACAATCTTAAACATTACAGCCATCAGAATTGTGAGCCCAATAAACCTTTTTTTCTATATAAGTTACCCAGCCTCAGGTATTCCTTTACCGCAACAATGAAGAGACCAAGACAGCAGATTTTCTTCTGCCTCTGCCATCCCTGAGACAGCAAGACCAACTCTTCTGCCTCCTCAACCTGCTCAATGTGAAGATGATAAGGATGAAGACCTTTATGATGATCCACTTTCACTTAATAAATAGTAAATATATTTTATCTTCCTTATGATTTTTAATAACATTTTCATTTTTCTAGCTTGATTAAAAGAATACAATATACAATACATATAATATACAAAATATATGTTAATCAACTGTTTATGTTATCAGTAATGCTTCCAGTCAACAGGAGGCTATTAGTAGTTAAGCTCTGGGCAAGTCAAAAGTTTTACATGGATTTTTGACTGCCAGGGGATTGGTGCCTCTAACCCCCACGTTGTTTACATATCTTTGTATAGTGTTACTCTGGGTATTTTAATATACACATGTGTCATAACACGTACCAGTATCATTTTACTTTTACTTTTTTTTTTTTTTTTTTGAGACGGAGTTTTGCTCTTGTTGCCCAGGCTGGAGCACAATGGCACGATATCGGCCAACTGCAACCTCCGCCTCCTGGGTTCAAGCGATTCTCCTGCCTCAGCCTCCCGAGTCGCTAGGATTACAGGCGCCTGCCACCATGCCCAGCTAATTTTTGTTATTTTTAGTAGAGACGGGGTTTCACCATGTTGGCCAGGCTGGTCTCAAACTCCTGACCCCAGGTGATCCACCCGCCTCGGCCTCCCAAAGTGCTGGAATTACAGGCGTGAGCCACCGCGCCCGGCCCATTTTACCTTTCTAAGTATAGAATCCCAATTCCATTTAGGTCCCTTTACTTTCTCCGCTTTTAAATATCATTGCCTCTAGCATCAAATGGTGTTATAATTTTTATTTCAATCATTGAATATGATTTATTAAACTGCTGAGGAAAAAGATAGCCTACGGTATATATTTATGTTTCTGCTTTTTCTGTTCTTCCCTTTTCATTCCTGATGCTCCAAGATTTATTTTTTATTATTTCCTTCCTGTTTTAAGAAATTCCTTTAGCCAATCTTTAATGGTAGCTCTACCAGCCACAAAGTTTTTTAGTTTTTCTTGTCTGCCACTGTTTTCTTTTTTCTCTTTATTCCTGAACAATAGTTCCACCAGATATAGAATTTATGGTTGACAGTTGTTTTCTTTCAACACTTTAGAAATAATGTGATACTTCCTTTGGCCCCCTTGGTTTCAGATGAAAAATTTGCTGTTGTTTGAATTGGTGTCCCCTATACATAATGCATTGTGTCTCTCTGGCTGCTTTCAAGATTTTTATTCTGTATCTTTAGTTTGCAAGTTTAATTATCATGTGTCTTGGCATGGACTTCCTTGGGTTTCTCATGCTTGGGATTTGCTCGGCTTCTTGGATGTGTAAGATTGTGTCTTCTGCCAAATTTAGGGAGTTTGCAGTCAAATCTCTTCAAACATTCTTTCAGCCCCACTCTCTTTCTTCTCTCCTTCTGAGACTCTGGTGATACAAATGCTGGATTGTCATATTACTTTCTTCAGGCCCCTGAAGTGCCTTTTTCTTCTATATGTTCAGATTGAGTGAATTCTATTGTTCTGTTCTCAAGTTCACTGATTCTTTTTTTTTGTTGTTTTTTTTTCATAGACACAAGCTCTCACAATGTTGCCCAGGCTGGTCTTGAACTCCTGGCCTCAAGTGATCCTCATATCTAAGCCTCCCAAAGCACTGGGATAGCAGACGTGAGACACCACACCTAGCCTCAAGTTCACTGATTCTATCTTCTCCCATGTCCACACTACTATAGACCCCATCAAGCAAGTTTTTAAAATTTTTATTATTATATTTTTCAGTTCTGTGATTCCCATTTTCTTCCTTTTTACATCTACTTCTTGACATTTTCTATTTTTTCACTTTCATTTGTTTCAAGAGAATTTGTAATTGATTGTTGAAAAATTTTTATGATGGATGCTTTAGAATCTTATCTCAATGTTGATGTCAGTTGATTGTTTCTTATTAAATTGTGATTTTCTTAGTTATTGGTTTTTGGAGTGATTCTTAATTGCATTCTGTACATTTTTCTATTTAATTAGGACACTCTGGGTCCTATGTTAATCTTTTATTTTGGGAGTCACCGTGTTTAGGTTTAGCATGTAAGTCTTGGCCTACTTTTGTGGAGCGTGGTTTCAACAGGAGTTTAATTTTCAGAGAGTTTGGGGTGTTATTTTGATGTATTTGGTTTATCTGATGCCTCTGGTGCTGCTGAAGGGATAGATGAGTTTTATTCAGACCAGACCAGGCCACCAGATGTCTCTTGGTGAGACAAGGATGAGGTGCGATTTACCTACTGTTGTCCCCAACTGCCTTGGCGTCTCTGGATGAGAGAGGATAGTTTTGAGCTCATGAGAATGAAGAAGCTTCCTAGACCAGGCAATGTGATATAGCTGGGGCTCTCCTGCAAGTTCCACATGCCTGCCTTGGTATCTCTTGGTATCTCTTGGCAGAAATAAATAGTCTCAGGCCTGGCAGGAAAAAAGAGTTTGTGGGAGTTTTTTTGTTTGTTTGTTTGTTTGTTTCTTTTTTTTTTTTTTTTAATGGAGTTTCGTACTTGTTGCCCAGGCTGGAGTGCAGTGGCACAATCTCGGCTCACTGCAACCTCCGCCTCCCGGGTTCAAGCAATTCTCCTGCCTCAGTCTCCCGAGTAGCTTCGACTACAGGCGCCCACCACCATGCCCAGCTAATTTTTGTGTTTTTAATATAGACGGGGTTTCACCATGTTGGCCAGGCTGGTCTTGAACTCCTGACCTCAGGTGATCTGCCCACCTCACAGATTTTCTGAATCTTAAATCTTGCATTCATAGAAGTTGGATTTCATTTGCTAATTTTATGCTAAGGATTTGGCATCAATGTTCCTGAGTGATACTTATCTGTAACTTTCTCTTTTGTAATGTCTTCCTCGGGTTTGAGGGTTAAGGTTATGCTTGCCACATAAAATGAGTGGGGAAGTATTCTCTCCTTTCTTTCCTGTTAAACATTGTGTAATAGAGGTTTTACATCTTCCTTGGATGTTTGATAGAATTCACTAGTAAAACCATCTGGACCTGGAGGATGTTTTATTTGTAGAAAGGTTTTCAATAATGTGTTTAATTTCTCTAATAGCTATATAGCTACTGAGATTTTCTGTTTCATCCTGCTCAGTTTAAATAAGTTGTATTTTTCAGAAAATGTGTTGGTTTAATGTAGCTTGTTGAATCTATTGACATAAAATTGTTTGTAACAGTGTATTATCCTTTAATGCCCACAGGATCTGTAACAAGAACATCTAATCCTTGATATTGGTGATTTGTATTTAATTTTTCTCCTGATCATTCTAGCTAGGGGTTTGTCAATTTTGTTGATCGTTTCAAAGAATAAACTTTTTGACTGATTAATTTTCCTTATTGCTCATCTGAGATTTTTTTCATTGATCTGCTCTTTGTTAGTTTCTTCCTCCTACTTATTTGGGTTTACTCTGTTCCTCCTATTATATCTTCTTGTAAATGTATAACCTTTAGTCATTGATATACAAATGTAAACTTTTATCTTTCATTCTAAATACTGTTCTAGCTTTATCCCACAAATTTCAACAAGTTATAAGTTCTTTATCATATAGTTCAAAATACCTTCTAATTTCTTCTATGATTTCTTCTTTGACCCATGAGTTATTTAGAAAAATGTTTATTTCAAAATATGTAAGAGTTTTCTCAATATTATATTGTTATTAATTTCTAATTTAATTCCTCTATAGTCAGAAAAATAGCTTATATAATTTAATTTCCTTGAATTTATTGAGACTTGTTTTATGGCCTAGCTTATGGTCTATTTTTATCAGTGTATACTAAGCCCTTGAAAAGGTATATTCAGCAGCTCCTGGTGTATAAGTATCAATCACATCAAGATGGTTGATGGTGTTATTCAAATTTTCCAAGCCTTTACTGATTTTTTTTGGCTAGCTTTTCTATAAATTGTTGTGACAGTGTATTAAAATTCAGTACTACACTTGTGGAATTGTCTTTTTCCCTTTAATTCTGTTGATTTTGTTTTTCACGTAATTGGAAGCTTAGAAGTAGGAAACAAAAAGATGTAGTCAGGAAATCTACATTCAAATTTGGGTAAGGCTGGACATGGAGTAATGTTAGAGCTACTAATTTTCATCTTTATTAAATAATGATTGTGTAATAATAATATTATCTTGCTGTTCAAGATTTATATGGTAAGACTTTATTATAATAAAAACAGTTATCAGGATAATCTGCAGGCACTTCCAGAAAAAATGTTATTAGATGGAGTTTAAATGAAATCCATTATAGAAAATTGTCTTAAAATGTATAAATACAAGTAGGAGGCATCATAACCATCATCACTATAAAATCAGAGCTAGAGTCTTCTACACAGTTCCAAGATTGTGTTTTATCAAGATTTTAGTACTAATAAAGTTAATTAGAGCTGTTTTCAAAACTCCTTAAAGTAATTATAATAAAGGGGAGCTGTTTTCTATGAAAAAAAGAGGTGAGCAGGTGGTAAAAATATTTTGAAAAGTGCAAAGGATACATTATATGAAATATAATATGATGAAAAGTATGAAATATATCTATACTTAATAGATATATTTAATATAGCATATGCATATGAAAAGTTGACTAAGATACATTATTAAATAAAAAAGAAAATTACAGAATAATATATAATGTGGTTTCTAAAAAGCATACAACTCTCTAAGTGCATATGAATATATGCATATTTGTACAGGCCTAGATCAAGAATGAAATTGTTAACTGTGGACAGCTCTGGGAGGGGGACTTCAGGATAGGGAATTGGCTGGCAGGGGCCTTGGGGAGTTGGGATGGAGAGGGAGGCATGGATGGAGAGTGGAGGGAACTTTTACTTTTTACTATTGTTTTATATTATTTGTATTTTCTTTTATAAGCAACATGCATTGTTAAACAAGAACTTTTTTTTTTAAGTTTAAGCAAAAGGGTGGGAAATAACTCTCCACTGCTAAATCTGACTGGATTTAAAAAATCATAAGTAAATAGTTTTAAAAATAATAACAACAATAATAATAAAATAGAAAATATGCACTGAAAAATAATTAAAGTTTCTAACATTGGGACAGAATAGAACCTGGGAGAAAGATAAAAAAGAACTCCCCAGCAAATTTACCTCTATAATGCAAGACTAGGTAAGATTACTGGAGTATTTTTTTTATAAATTCATGAAGATAATCTGTGCTGAGATTAATGATAATTATACATTGTAACCTGTTTGTTCTATTGGATTTTTAATCAAACTTTAAAAAAAAAAGCAAACACAAAGCTACCTCCTGAGCATTGTAGCACAATAGCAGCCTTCTCCTGTGCTGTCCTTTATTAGATTAATTAAATTAAATTGGTTCTTAGGGGATCACAAATTCTACAGAAGCCTAAAGGAAAAAGACATAGGGCTCCCTAGCCACCACAATATCGAATCAGGACGCGGTTTGATGGGGTGGTCAATGGAAAGACAGAAGGATTTGCCTGCAGACAGTAACATCTTTAAGCAGATCTATTTAGTCCCAACAAGATATGTTAGCCTGCTGAAGTGTGATAATTTAGAATGTAAAACAATCATATAACAGAAAGTGGTATTATCATTGTGTGGCAGACACTTTTAATTGCCAACCTAACAGTCATTTTCTTGTCCTTCTTTTTTTAAGAGACAGGGGTCTCACTATGTTTCCCAGTCTAGACTCGAACTCCTGGATGCGAGTGATCCTTCTGCCTCAGCCTCCCAAGTAGCTGGGACTACAAACACATGCCATGCACCCAGCTTCTAGCAGCCATTTTCCTACCCTGCTTTTTTTTTTTTTTTTTTTTTTTTTTGCCAGCAGAGCTTTCCTCATATTCCAAGAAGCTGAAAATCCAAATACTCAATTTCTGCACCTCTTTGAGTCAGTGCTTAGATATGTGATGAAGTCCTGTCCAATGGGACTGCAATAAGCAGAGAAATAAACAACAGAAATACTCTCTCACACCCTTCCTACTTTTGGACATTATTGGAGACAGATTTTATTTTTTTTTTTTGCAGCTGCATCTTGCAGCTATGAAGAAACACAGGTCACTGATACACTGAAGATGACAGAGCAGCAAGAAAGAATCTGGACTCATCAGTCAGCTGGGAACCCTACTTTGGATTCACCTACTTCTATACTTCTATACTTCTATTTGCTCTGCCCTGGGATGAGGAGGGGTCTTTGGTCTGCTCAGGGGTTGAGCAGAAATTGTGAGCAAAGAGGAAGGGTCAAGTATTGTCCATATTCTTGTCATAGTTAAGAGGACAACCACAGTGTTACAGCAGAAGTATTAGACATGTGAACAATGAAAGGTTTTGGCCGGGCATGGCAGCTCATGCCCGTAATCCTAGCACTTTGGGAGGCCAAGGTGGGCAGATCACTTAAGGTCAGGAGTTTGAGACCAGCCTGGCCAACATGGCAAAACCCCATATCTACTAAAAATAAAAAAATTAGCCTGGCATGATGGCACATGCCTGTAGTCCCAGCTACTCAGGAGGCTGAGGCACGAGAATTGCTTGAACCTTGGAGGTGGAGGTTGCAGTGAGCCGAGATTGTGCCACTGCACTCCTGCCTGGATGACAGAGTGAGACTCCGTCTCAAAGAAAAACAAACAAACAAACAAACAAAAAACAATGAAAGGTTTTGAGTTACTCTCTGTGGTCTGGGAAGGTTCTAGAGCCACAGCAGCAGGAAACAGAGGGTAAAATCCCCCTTGGGAGGCCTCTTGCCCCTCCCCTAAACAGAGCCTCATTTCCCACAAAGAACCTGTAACTTCCAGGCCAATCAGCAGTGACAGAAACTACCAGGCTTTTCAAAGCAGTGACCTAATCCATCCAATCTACTTCCTGTGCGAGTCATTTTTTATGCAGAATTGCTCACTGCGAGCATCAAGGCCACATGTCCTCTATGGATAACTCTTCTTCAGACACTTCGTCCTCAGAGACCCTGAAGACTTCTGTACCTAAATAATACTCCAGGCCAGGCGCGGTGGCTCACGCCTGTAATCCCAGCACTTTGGGAGGCCGAGGCAGATGGATCACGAGGTCAGGAGTTCGAGACCCTCCTGGCTAACACAGTGAAACCCTGTCTCTACTAAAAATACAAAAAATTAGCCAGGTGTGGTGGCATGCGCCTGTAACCCCAGCTACTCGGGAGGCTGAAGCATGAGAATGGTGTGAACCCAGGAGGCGGAGGTTGCAGTGAGCCAAGATGGCGCCACTGCACTCCAGCCTGGGTGACAGAGCGAGACTCTGTCTTAAAAAGAAAAAAAAAATAATAGTAATACTCCAGCTGAGGGCTGTAACTCCTGGGCAATAATAACAATAATATAATTATGGAATAGCTAACATTTACTCAGCTCTCATTCTTTGCCATTTACTAGTTTAAGTGTTTTCATGAACTAATTCACAATAATTCTATAAAGAAGACACTATCAATCCCTCCCATTTTACAGATGAGAACAGTAAGGCATAAAGTAATTTACCCAGCATCTCACATCTGGTAGGTAGCAGAGCTGGGCTATAATCCCAGGCAGCTTGGCTTCAAAGACTGTGTGCCCAGCTTCTACACAAAACTTCTTAGAAATAAGCTTCCATTAGAATGTAAGGGGAGAGCCAGAAGAAAGGAATTAATCTGAAGAACAGATTTGTAGAGGGACAATGCAGGGAAAGAGGGAGAACACAAGTGGACAAATGATTCCAATATGACTGAGTGACTTTCCCTGTGTCACCAAGTTATTCCAAGTCTAATCCCCTGTATTTCTTTCTTCTTTCTGCAAAAGTAGAGAAGGCATCACTGTAGTTAAGCTATCTCCATGAACTTGCCAAGGTTACTGACAAGGTTTGGATCTATCCCCACCCAAATCTCTTGTTCAATTGTAATCCCCAGTGTTGGAGGTGGGGCCTGGTAGGGGTGATTGGATCATGGTGGATCCTTCATGGATGATTTAACACTATCCCCTTGGTGCTGTTTTGTGATAAAGGGTCTCATGAGATTTGCGTGTTTAAAAGTGTGTAACACCTCCCCCTCCACACCCTCTTGCTCCTGCTCCAGTCATGTGACATGCCTGCTTCCCTTCTTTGCCTTCAGTCATGATTGTAAGTTTCCTGAGGCCTCCCCAGAAGCAGAGGCTGCTATGCTTCCTGTACAGCCTACAGAACTGTGAGCCAATTAAACCTCTTTTCTTTATAAATTACCCAGTCCCACGTATTTCTTCATAGTAGTGTGAGAACAGACTAATACAGTTACTAACCTCTTCTTCCAAGGCATCTACTTTTACTCTATCCATTCCTTCATTACTTTCGGTTTGTTTGTTTCATAATGTATTTTCCCCCTGCTAGACTTGAGCTTTAAGTTGCTGTTTTTCTTACCAATGTCTTGAAGACAAAAGATTGTGACAAAAGACACCCTTTTGATGACAAGGACTCAGTTTCGGTTTTCTTAAACAGAAAGGAGCCACAGGGTTGGCAAGATATACAAGAAAAATATTCCCTTTTCCTAGTGTTCCTTTCACCTAGGAGTACTCACAGCCAACATCAGACTGGGCTCCCAACATTACAACTCTTCAGTGACACCTACTCAAAGCCACTTTTCCCAGTGAGGATCCCATAGCACCCATGAGACTGGATCAGAAGCAGCTGCATTAGAACTTCCTCTAAGACAGTAATTCTCACCTCTAGGTGCAATTAGAATCACCTGGGGAGCTTTAAGAAGAAAACCCAAAGCCCACATTATGCCCCTGATCAATTATAGCAGAATTTCTGGAGTTGTGACCTAAGCAATAGTATGGTTTAAAGCTCTCCTAGTGATTCTAATGTGGTTGAGAACAACTTTCCTAAATAATGTGTAACTTCATTATTAAAATATCACTTTCAAAAAGTAAAATCATGACTCTTATGCAAATATAAAACATATATGCCAAATTTATTCAGTTCATCAATAAGTGAGCCAGTAATATGGCAAAACCACCCTCAAAGAGCGTTTCAGGAGCTAAATATTTACAAGCAATGGGTCGGGCACAGTGGCTCATGCCTGTAATCCCAGCACTTTAGGAGGCCCAGGCGGGCAGATAATGAGGTCAGGAGATCGAGACCATCCTGGCTAACACAGTGAAACCCCGTCTCTACTAAAAATACAAAAAATTAGCCGGGCATGGTAGCGGGTGCCTATAGTCCCAGCTACTTGGGAGGCTGAGGCAGGAGAATGGCGTGAACCTGGGAGGTGGAGCTTGCAGTGAGCCGAGATTGTACCACTGCACTCCAGCCTGGGCGACAGAGTGAGACTCCTTCTAAAAATATATATATATATATACACACATATATATATGCAATATTAGCTTAAGGTGGTTGTTTTGATACAAAACTAGTTAATGTCACTCTCCAAAGCAAGCCACAGATTCACTGCAATTCCTATCAAAATCCCAATGGTAGTTTTTGAAGAAATGAAAAAGGTCAATGGGATTGCAGTGGACCCTGAATTGTGATTGATATGGAATTACAAGGGGCTCCGAATAGGCAAAATCATCTTTAAAAAGCAGAACAAAGTTGCAGGACTCAAACTTGCTGATTCAAAATCTTACTATAAAACTACAGTAATCAGAACAGTACGGGACTGGCATAAGTATAGACATATATATCAAGAGAATTGAATAGAAAGTCCAGAAATAAACCCATTCATCCATAGTCAATTGATTTTTTACAAGTATGCCAAGACCATTTAATGAGGCAAGAACAGTCTTTTCAACAAATGGTGCTGGGACAATTGATTATCCACATGCAAAATGAAGTTGAACCCTTCTTATCACATACCATATACAAACACCTCAAAATGGATCAAAGACCTAAATGTAAAAACTAAAACTATAAAACTATAAAACTTAGAAGAAATCATAGGAGTACATCTTCATGACTTGGATTTGACAGTGGTTTCTTAGATATAACACCAAAAGCAAAAGCAACAAAATTAAAAAACAGATAAATTTGACTTAATCAAGTGTGAGAAGACAACCAACAGAATGGGGGAAAATATTTGTGGATCATAGATCCGATAATGGTTTAATATCCAGAATATACAAAGAATTCCTACAATTCAACAACAAAAAGACAAACAACCCAATTTTAAAATGACAAAGGACTTAAACATTTCTCCAACAAAGACATACAAATGGCCAAGAAGCACATAAAAAGATGCTCAATGTCATTAGTCATTAGAGAAAAGCAAATTACAACCACAGTGAGATAATACTGCACACCGACAAAGTTGGTCATAACCAAAAAAAAAGGAGGTGAAAGAGTAAGTATTGGCAAAGACGTAAAGAAATTGAAATCTCCATACATACATTGCTGGTTAGAATGTACAATGGTATAGTTGCTATGGAAAACGGTTTGGTGCGTCCTCAAAAAATTAAGCATTGACTACAGGACCAGCAATTCCACTCCTAGGTAAATACCCAAAAGAATTGAAAACAGGCATTCAAACATATACTTGAATGCTCATAGTATCACTGTTCACAATAGCCAAAAGGTAGAAATAACCTAAATGTCCATCAACAGATGAATGCATCAACACAATGTAGTATACACATAGAGTGGAATATTATTCAGCCCTAAAAATGAATAAAGTACTGATACATACTACAGCCAACACAAAGGAGCCTTAAAAACATTATGCTAGATGAAAGAAGCCAGATACAAAAGGTCACATATTATATGATTCTATTTATATAAACCATCTAGAATAAGCAAATCCATAGAGACAGAAATCAGATTAGTGGTTTCCAAGGTCCAAGTGGATGGTGGGATAGGGAGTGACTGCTTAATGGGTATAGGATTTCAGGATTTCCTTTTAGAGTGATGAAGATATTTTAGAACTAGATACAGGTGGTGGTCAAACACATCGCAAAAATGATGAAAATGTTTCAGAACTAGATACAGGTGGTGGTCAAACACATGGCAAAAATGATGTAAATGTTTCAGAACTAGATACAGGTGGTGGTCAAACAACATCACGAAAATATGAAATGCCACTAAATTGTATACTTTAAAATAGTCCATGAGGCCAGACACAGTGGCTCACACCTATAATCCTAGCACTTTGAGAGGCAGAGGTGGGAGGATTGCTTAGGCCCAGGAGTTCGAGACCCGCCTGGCAACATAGGAAGCCCCTGAATCCACAAAAAAAAAAAAATTTTTTTTTCAGACAGGGTCTCGCTCTGTCGCCCAGGCTGGAATGCAGCGGTGAGATCTCAGCTCACTGCAAGCTCCACCTCCCAGGTTCACACCATTCTCCTGCGTCAGCCTCCTGAGTAGCTGGGACTACAGGTGCCCGCCACCATGGCTGGCTAATTTTTTTGTATTTTTAGTAGAGACGGGGTTTCACCATGTTAGCCAGGATGGTCTTGATCTCCTAACCTCGTGATCCGCCCACCTCGGCCTCCCAAAGTGCTGCCATTACAGATGTCAGCCACTGCGCCCAGCCAAAAAAAAATTTTTTTTTAATTAGCCAGGCATGGTAGTGAGCACCTGTGGTCCCAGCTACTCAGGAGGCTAAGGTGAGAGGATTGGGAGGTCAGGGCTGCAGTAATGATTGCACCACTGCACCCCAGCCTGGGGGACAGAGCAAGACTCTGTCTCTAAATTAATTAATAAATTAAATTTTCAAATAAAATGGTTAATGATTAATTTATGTTATATTAATTTTACCCCATTTTTAAAAAGAACTGGTTAATGTCCAATGAGGCCATAATTTGTAACCCTTGGAGTTATGTGTTCCACCTGATAGAAACTAATTTCATCTGGCTAAACCCTTTCAGACAAAAAAATCTACAAGTTTACCTTTGCCCCTATGAGTTGCGAAATAGCCCTGACAAAAGAAAGTTAACCCAGCACTGTACTGAAAGAACAGCCAGTAACCTCTTCCCTATTTCCAAGTTTTAGGTATTTTTTTCTGACATCATATAGAGTCCAAATTACCAGTTCAGATTTCACTCTTACTGAGGGTTACTTTCACCATTGAAGTGAGCTCCCTTTTGTTTTTTTTTTTTAAAAGTCAGTTGGTCTTATTCAGGGCTATCTCAGTCCATTAGAAATGTACTTAAACTAGAAAGGGAATGTATTGGGATCTAGATTTCTTTATTCCCTGAAGATTTCTGGGAATGTATGCAAATTTTCCCACCTTTTCCTGGCAATCAACAAGCCTTCTGTGTGTGGATCTATCTACTTATCCATAGCATTGTATTAGTCTGTTCTCACACTGCTGATAAAGACATACCTGAGATTGGGTAATTTATACATGAAAAGGGGTTTAATGGACTTACAGTTCCATGTGGCTGGGGAAGCCTCACAATCATGCTGGAAGCCAATGAGGAGCAAGTCACATCCTATGTGGATGGCGGCAGGCAAAGAGAGAGAGCTTGCACAGGGAAACTCCCATTTTTTAAAACCATCAGATCTCGTGAGAGTTATTCACCACATGAGAAAAGCATGGGAAAGACCCACCCCCATGATTCAGTTATCTCCTACCAGGTCCCTCCCACATGTGGGAATTATGAGAGCTACAAGTGAGATTTGGGTGGGGACACAGAGCCAAACCATATCAAGCATGTATTTTTGTATGCAACAATGAGTAAGAAATAAGTATCATTCACTCTGCCTGCAGAGCTGGATTCTCAGCCTTTTACAAGCAAAACCAAACAGAAAATTCTACAAAACTATTTCACCAAAATATTGGGGAAGAACAGTGTAAAGAAACAAGAGAGAGGCCAGGTGCGGTGGCTCACGCCTGTAATCCCAGCACTTTGGGAGGCCAAGGAGGGCGGATTACCTGAGGTCAGGAGTTCAAGACCAGCCTGGCCAGCATGGTGAAACCCCATCTCTACTAAAAATACAAAAATTGACCAGATGTGGCGGTGCCCACCCTTAATCCCAGCTACTCAGGAGGCTGAGGCAGGAGAATCACTTGAACCCAGGAGGTAGAGATTGCAGTGAGCTGAGATCATGCCACTGCACCCCAGCCTGGGCGACAGAGTAAGACTCTGTCCCAAAAAAAAAAAAAAAAAAAAAAAAAAGCGAGAGAGAGAGATGGAGAACTCACAAGAGCATGCAGACCCTGGAGCACTTTTGTGTAGCACTTCAATTTTTTTCTTTCTTTTTTGAGACCAAGTTGCTCTGTCGCCCAGGCTGTAGTGTAGTGGCACGATCTCAGTTCACTGCAACCTCTGCCTCGCAGGTTGAAGCAATTCTCCTGCTTCAGCTTCCCAAGTAGCTATAATTACAGGCCTGTGCCACCACACCCGGCTAATTTTCTTGTATTTTTCGTAGAGACAGGGTTTCACCGTGTTAGCCAGAATGGTCTCTATCTCCTGACCTTGTGATCCGCCCACCTCAGCCTCCCAAAGTGCTGGGATTACAGGCATGAGCCACCGTGCCCGGCCAGCACTTCAATTTTTACTAAATATTTTGGGGGTAACAGAACCCTTTTAGAGTTTAAAGAAAGCTGAAGATATCTTCTGCAGGAAAACACACATAGATACATAAACGCAAAATGTCGCAGATAATTTCAAATGATTTTGTGCCTCCAGAAAGGTTTCCAGGTAAAGAATTCCTATTCTGCGTCCCCCAAAACCAGCAGAAATGGCCAGAGTAAACAGTTTAAAAATGTTCCATGGGATCTGACTAACCCACGTGTAGACAAAGTCTCCAGTCTATAGGTTTCATCTTTTTGAAAAGAACCATAGAATATATAAAATTGCTCCCTTTCTTGGTAGGTTCCTGATATAAGGAAATCAAGTTGTTAACAGAGAAGAAATTGTCAAAGAAGAAAACTTCTTCATAGACCTGCTTTTTGGACTTCTGTTATTTTAACTAATTAGCCAACCACTGTTAAAAGACATTCATTTCGGAAAACTTATTTATTTTGGTCTGCCACATTTATTTGCTTAGTGTCACTCTTATGTACATGGATTACTGGTTAATGAAGTCTAGAACAGCCATATTCAGCATGCATTTCAGTATTAGGCTGAAAATGCAATAAATTTTCTATATCAACTTCTAACTGAAATTAATCATCTTCACTTTCTTCTCAGCTTGAATACTTTTTATGGGCCTTTCTGCTCCTCCCACTCACAAACTCATTAGTTTCACCTGCTAATTTACTTTTTAATTATTTATCTCTGCCATACTGCCCCAGTAGTATTCAGTGGTTCTTAGTAAACCTTGGACTATTTCAGGAAAAAAAAAAAAAAAACTGTCGGAATGGTATTTTTTTTTATAGGAGTCTAAAGTTAAAAATAAGATTTACTTTGCATGCACCATTAAAGGTGATAAATCTTCAAGCTTCAGTTAAGAACATAACAGCATCAAATGTCAGGGAAATTCCTTCTTTATGCCACGTATTTTATAATGAAGTTTAACATAGAATTTAAGGTATTTCTTTTTAAAATGTCACAGAGTTGATGAGCAATCAACTCTTGAAAGATGAAGAAAGAGCTGTGAAACCAGGACTTGTAATTAATTGCTATGCACCAGTACCCAGTGTGGGGTTTTACATCAAACATCTCTTCTCTTTGGGCCAGGGTTCATTCTGACTGGTCAGGCCCCTTGTTCTGATTGGTTGAATGCCTGGGGTGACAACTGTATTCCTGTTTGCATGGGACTTCCCCAGTTTTAGCACTGAAAGTCTAGCCTCCCCTTTTAGTTCCAGGAAAAGTGAGACAGTTACCTCTTTCAACAAAACTCAATGTTACTAATTTAAAAACACCCCAAGTTCACATTTTGTAAATAGTTGTCTCTCTTCAGATTTGTAATACACTCCAGAAAAACATTTTTTAATATACTCAATTTAAAACACATTTAAGACCAGAATGGAAATTACATGAGTATTATGTCAGAAAAGTCTGGTAGCAGAAAGACTAATTTGCATTGGCATTTATAATAGAGAAAATTTACATATTGTGAAATTAAAAGTAAAGATTTTTTTAAAGTATATATGGAAATCTGCCTAAAATATGTTAATCTGAGAATAGTGAAGAATAGAATTGCTTCTACAGCTGAGATTTGTTATTGTTTTTATATTTGAATTGTATTTATTGGAATAAGTATATGAAGTACAAAAGTTCAAAAGAAACAAAAAGTACACATACAATGAAACGTCTCCCACATTTTCTAGACAACCACACAAACAGTTGTTATTTCTAATATTTCTGTCCAGAAATATTCTATGCAAAAAAAGTAAATAAATGGAATTTTTACAGAGTAAAATGATAATTACTAAGATGAAGTTGGAGGAGGAGACCTAACTTGGTGCCACAGCTGGAAAAGGCCTGCCCTGTGGGCTGACTGCAGAGTTGAACGGTAGGTGTTAGTCAAACTAGAAAGACCAGAAAGAACAAAGGCACGGGGTAGAGGCAGCTTGGAGCATTCAGGGAACTGTAAGCAGTTCAGAAGGGTCAGAGCTAAGGGGACAAAAACAGTGGGGACAGTGGGAGATTAATGTGGAGAGACAGGCAGGGCCAGCAAATATGCTTTCTTTCAGTATGAAAGCGCAAGTTTCGTCTTAAATTAGTGTGAACCAAAGAAAAGCAGATTAAGTCTCTACCAGGAGTCCAAAAACAAAAAAAAAAATACAGTAAAAGGCAGTTCTCTTGTTGCCAAGCCTAGTTTGGTCCAACTGCTGGATAATGTGTTAATGACACACTGTGGAGGAGGGGGAAGGTATCCACATAGAAGACAAAACTGAGTATTCTCCAAGACTGATGTCCATCTCTATTAAGTGAATCATAAGCAAGGCTCTGACAAAGGTAGATATTAGGGGAAATTATTTTAGCAAGAATGCTTACTTCCCCCTAAACTGCCTTGACAAGCTCTGAAGGTCATTAGATCACTGGGAAGTACTGCTTTTTAAAACACTCATCAGCCCTGCCTCCTGCAATCATAGTGCAGCCGATGTCATAGCTGTGAGCTTTTAGAAGGCTTTCTCTATGGCTGAAACACTATGGGAGAACCTTAAGAAACACTGTCCTCACTAGCGCATTCCCTCTGCATGTCCATGGACTTCTGGCAACTGTAAACATATTTCTGTTGCTGAGCCAATAAATAGGAACTCTTTTTCTAGAGAGAATGACTTGCACCATTGCATAGTAATTTCTAAGAAATAAAAGAAAGAAATTTCAATCAGTGCAAGACAGGAGTTCCCTTACCTGGCTCTATATTAGAATCGTCTTGAGAACTTAAAAGAGAAAAAAAAGATTCTGACCTTGACTTACCAAGTCAAAAAGAGGGATTGGTGATAAAGGAGTCATCTTTTAAAAAAAAAAATACCTCTGGGATTATTTATACTGATCAACCAGATCTGGGAGATTTCATCTGCTAATCCAGAATGGGGCAGAGTCTTCAAACAATCTTTTGTAATCATAAAACTCGTATCAAATGAGCCTGACTGCATTGAGACTGTTGAAAGGTTTCTAATGACAGGTTGTAAGACTCTTTAACTCCCTGGCAATTTGTTAGTCTCCGTAACAGAGGAAATGGCCAGTGGAGAAGAAAGTCCTTATAGAAACCCATTGGTGATGGGTCATTTAACCATATTGGTGTACCTTAATGCAGTAGATGTGTTCCAGAAAAAAGAGTGAATAAATCAAATTTTTATAAATGGAATTTTTTTTTTAAGTATATGAAGAGCCTTAGAGATTTAAAGGGTTCTTCAGGGGCCTTTTTCAAATCAGCGCTTTATTTTAAAAGTAATACATGCTCGGGGTTAAAAAAAAAATTCACACACAATAGAGAAAAAAGTAATGAGATGTAATAGTCACTTCTTCTCCTTCCAACTCCTCCCACATAATAAACTTAACCCTTACTTGTTTCCCAGCCATTTTCACTGCATATTCCTTGATGATTTTATAAAACCTGTTTGTTATTTTTTTCTCTATCAAAGCATTATAGACACCACCCGTTAGGAAATACAGAGCCCCCTCATTCTTGCAATGGCAGAATGGATGTACCATGATATGTAATATCTATGGTCTATGTAACTATTCCTCTTCTTACAGAAATTTAGGTGATTTCTTCTCTCTCTGTTTCTCTCTCTCTCTCTCTCTCTGTCACACACACACACACACACACACACACACACACACCCCATCCTGGTAAATATATCCTTAGAAATATATCTTTTTATATTTTATATATATTTATATATAATATATATTTATATATTTTTTTATATTTATATATTTATTTATATTTATATATTTTTATATTTTATATATTGTAGATATATATAATTAAATAATATATAATAATATATATGTTATTATATGTATATAGAATATATAAATAATATGTAATATATATAAATAAATATATATGTAAATATATATATAGGATAATATATAGAATACCTATAGAATAATTTCCCAGGAGTAAAATTGCTGGGTAAGAGTATGTGCATGTCAAATTTGGCAGGCATTCTCAAAGCATATTCTCCAAAAAAGTATACCAACTTCCAATCCCAACAACAGTGTGTGACATTCCCTACATTCCCACTTCCTCATCCCCTCTCTATATTATCATATGCTTCATCTTGGTCAGTCTTATCAATGAAAATGGTATCTCAGCTGAGCATGGTGGCTCATGCCTGCAATCCCAGTACTTTGGGAGGCCAAGGTGGGAGGATCGCTTAAGGCCAGGATTTTGAGACCAGCCTGGGCAACACAGGGAGACTCCTGTTTCTATAAAAATTTTAAAAATACTAGTCAGGTGTGGTGGTTCACACCTGTGGTCCTAGCCACTTGGGAGGCTGAGGTGGGAGGACGGCTTGAGCCCAGGGCGTCAAGGCTGCAGTGGGCCGTAATTACACTGCTGCACTCCAGCCTGGGTGGCAGAGCGAGACCCTGTCTCAAAAAAACAAAAAAGGAAAATGTATCTCATTCTTATTTTAACTGATACTGATTTTTCGTGGAGGCTGGGTATATTTTCCTGTTTTTTGGCCACTTGGATTCTATTGAGAATTCTTTTGCAAAGCAGAGAATCATTATTCAGAGTGATCCTTCAGCTGCCATGATTTATCCCTTTCTAAGTTTGGGTTGTCACGAATCAGCCAAAACGTCATTTCTGGTGGACAACCATGCACAGGTCACCCTGATTTCGAAAAAGCCATCATTTGGTTCTGCTCCAGTCCCATTTCTATACTTTGCTTTGCTGCCAAGAGGTTGATTCTTATTTCCTCCCCGCCCACACCTTCCTCATTTCCCTGAGTTCTGGCATCTGTCCCCAGCACT